>NC_000004.12:136497138-136800168 GCF_000001405.40 Homo sapiens
CTCCTTCGTAACATAAACTTCTAATTTTCAGAAAGTGTCAGGGTTTTCAATAAAAATACTCTTTTCTTAATTTTTATACAGCTCTTTAAAGAATATGATATGCCTGCATTAGTATAGGTTGTTCTCACATAAAATAATTTGTGTGAATATAGTTTTCTTAAATATCTATATATCTTTGTCCAATTCTTTGAATACCTTATTCAACATGAAAATCTTGGGAACAACATAGTACATCAATTTTAAAGAATGTACAGAAGCTATGAAACTGATAAGATCATAATTTGAAACAATTTTAATATCTTCCCTCCCCAAATTAACCTTATTGATCATAATAAAAATATATGAGAACAGAAGAATAGGAGAAGAATACAAATAAATGCAACAAAATAAATAAATTATAAGATCTTTAGTAGCGTATTATGTATTTTGTTTGATGGCTTGCTGCATCTCAAGGATTTCTTCCCCACAATAGGAACACTTAAAACTATATTACTAAAAGAACACATACTGTTTGGTAATATTCAAATTGCTTGAATGTTTTGTTCCTAAATGGCTTTATTCCAGAAAAGCAGATAAAATTTAAACTTATGGAATTGACCATTCCTTCCAAAGGATGAATGCAATGTGGCAGCCTCCTTATTTGAGGTCTGCAGTTCTCCTAAGAATCATTTCTTTGCAGCTATCTTTAGCAGGAACCACTCCCTCTTCCCAACTGCAGAGAACATGGAGGTAGAGATGTGGTGTATTCTCTTAGCTCCAAACCACTACTTTTCACTGTCTGGTAGAAATCCTAACTAGTAGATCGAACCACATAAAGTAGAAAATGTTCAACCATTTTCCACCTACACAAAAGGTAATTTCATAAGAGTCACCTATTATTTTGAATCTCATAGGACTTCCTTTTATTCACTGATATCATCATTTAACAACAATAATACTTGACTCACAGTCTATCCATTGAAATACTATAATCAAACACAAGAGTGATATTACTTTGCAGGCATTTCTATCAACACCCTTATCTTATACTTCTTTGTTCTCAAATCCAGTCATCACTACTTCTATTCTCTTTCTCCACCCTTTTGTATACCCATACTCTAAACCTTGTTGACTTGTACATATTTCATCTCTACAAATCTAAATTATTATCAGATAATTGCAAAAAGAGCAGCCAGGGCTCTGTGTCAGGTTCAAATCCAGTTCGCTGGTTTATTAGCTTAACATTTTCAGCTGTGTAACTTTGAGCAAATTACTCTACCTAGTAAGCCTGTTTGTTCATCTATAAACAGAGTTTCTCAACCTCAGCACCACTGGCACTTGGCCCATATAATTCTTCATTGTGGAGGGCTGTCCTACACATTACAGGATCCCTGGCCTCCACAGTAAATGTGTAACACACGCTCCTCCAGTTGTAAAGACCTAAGATATATGGAGATTTGCCAGATGTCCCTTGGGAGACTTGGAAAGTAAAATTGCTACTCACCCACTGTCCTGTAAGATAAAGGCAGTAGTTGTATTTATCTTATATATTTAAAAGGAATATGTCAGGAAAATAATAAAGCAAATAGTGTCATTATAAAATGAACTAGCCATCAGCATTATCTTCTTTGGCACTGAAAATACTGCCACAAATGGCTGAATACTTGTCCAGACCAATAACACTACCAAATACATGATCTTTAACCACTTCTAAGTCCTCAGAATTGCTTGGGAATCATTCTTTATGTCCCCATCTCCATTCCTCTCATGTCCACATCTTCATTCCTCTCAGGACATATTTAAAATCTTCCCGTTGCTGTGGGCTCAGGTAGGTGACTTGCTTTGGCCAATGTGATTTAAGAACTTACAAAAGCAGAGGCTGTTTTTATGGTTGCATTGACTTTTGTACTGGGGCCATTCACTTCAGCAGTATAAGAATTTCCCGAAATGCCCAATGGAAGACAATTGAAGCAGACCTGAACCCAACCAATAGCCTAGAGTAAAGCCCAGCCAATCCTTCAAGAGCCCAGCACAGCCACAACCTCCCATACAGACCTGAGTGAGAAATAAATGTGTATACACCACACACCAAAAGCTGCTATGGAGTAGTTTGTTACACATGGTTATTAAATTTTCACATCATTCTAGATATCTTTTCTTCTATCCCAATGGAAACTATTCTCTCTTCTGCCCAAGGATCATTTTCACTGTCCTCTGAATCTTGCCTTCTTGAATCTCTTACTTCAGTATGCCCAACACTGAACTTTGCTAGACTTTTGGACTTTAAGTCAGCTCCTCTCATCCTCTACAGTACCCTCCCTATCCCCAGCATATACACCCTCCCTTCCCATACTGCTCAAGCTCCAGTCGTTTCTATATAATCATGCTCTCATCTCTCCTTGGTTAGGCACTGAATGTTCTTTGGATTGAATTGTTCAGAAAATTTGGAGAAGAAAAGAGAACAAGGAAAGGTCGAATTTCTTTATATGTTCTGAATATGCAATTTTTTTTCTAGGCATTACAGATGTTTAATCCTAGATTGGTCCTTACTTTTTAAATCTGTAAAATAGATCTTCCTCCATTATTTCAGAAAATATACATGCTAATGAAGTTAAATGTACAACTTTACTCATATGAGTTGTACTTTTCAGATCTTGTCTAAAGACGTGTTTGACAGTGGTCATAAATACATACAGTATTTTCTTGTTAAAATTTAACATTTTATCTCATATTTAAGTCTTTTAAGACATCTGAAATTTATTTGTATATGTAATGGGTTTGTATTATACCTTTTCCGTGTGATTTATTAAATAGTTGATACCTTCTTCATTGATTTACAATTCCTGCTTCTTATAACAATAATATCCACAAATTCTTGATCTGCCTATAGATTGTCCATTCTGTTCCATTAGTCAATTTCAAATAAAAAACAGTTCCACATATAAATAAGAAGAGATTTTATCTGAAAGGATTATTGCAAGTGTATAGAAAGGGACAGTTGTAATTGTAATTGAGAGGACTATTGTAATAGAAAGAACAAGCCAAGTGTAAGATTGGCAAGAATCTTAAAGGTTAGGCAGAAAACTTTTTCTTTTACAGGGAGGAGTAAATAAGGCTAGAAAGAACCGGTTGTGTGAAGTGGGATGAGCTAGGTTGGCATGATCTAACAGGAGATCAGAGAACGTTCTGCCCTGAGCCAGCCTTTTTCAGAAGGGGCTGTTAAGGAGGCATTGTGCTCTGGCTCTGGCTGAGGTTGAGTCGAAGTTCAGGTGTCAAAATTTGGTTACCAATTATTTTCTTCCAAGTGATCAGTGGGAGGGAAAGAGTTCAGCTAATCATTTATGTGGCAAAAACTTTTGAGATTTTGTACTTCTCCTGTCATGGATAAAAAACAAAGGGTGGGGGGCATCCCTGAGTCCTACCAAAGTCATATGGAAAAGCATATTTCTTTGCAGTAAGAGGTATTCTGGAACACAAAAGGCTAGGGAATTTATTTTACCATTACTGTTGACCAAGATCACAGCACTCTTGCAAATTTTAATACTGTTATCAATTTGCACAAGTATCACAGTTCTATATGCTATAGCCATATAAACCTTAATATATGGTAGGGCAGCCTAGTCTTCCTTAATTTGTTTTCAAAATTGTCCTAGGTATTATCAATCCTTTAGCCAATTTAAGAATAACTTAAAAATCAATACAGGCTTACCTTGTTTTATTGTGCTTTGCTTTATTGTGTTTTGCAGATATTACGTTTTTTACAAATTGAAGGTTGTGGCAACCCTGCATGAAGCAAGTCTATTGGTGGTGTTTTTCCAAGAGCATGTACTCATTTTGTTAGCATTTTTAGCAATAAAGTATTTTTTAATTAATTAAGGTACGTACATTGATTTTTTTAGACATAATACTATTGCATACTGAATAGGCTATAGTTAGTGTAAACATAACTTTTATATGCACTGGGAAACCTAAAAATCTGTATGATGCACTTTGTTATAATATTCACTTTATTGCAGTGGTCTGAAACCAAACCTGTGATATCTCCAAGGTATTCCTGTATTTTTATAAGACAGAAATTGCATTATATCTATGGATTAATATAAAAATAAATGACATTTTAGTGACATTTTATTTTCTTCCCCTTGTATATGGTGTATATATTTATATATTTAGATTTCTTCTTTAGTAAAAAGTTATGGGTTTTCCTGTGGGTTTACTCATATTTATCTTAAATATATACTTAGGTACATTATAGTGTTTATTAATCTTAAAAATGGAATACTCATATTAGTATTACTATATGTCTAAGTTTACAACTAATATAAAGAAAAATTATCAATATACGTATATTAGTTTTAGCTTCAATAAATTTGCTAATTCATTTGTTAGTTTACATTGTTTGTAAATTTTCCTTTATCCTTTGTGTATATGTTAATGTCTTCCAGAAATAAAAATGTTCTTGCTTTCCTGTCTTTATAGTTCTTAATTCTTCTTGTGTTGGTTAGTACCTCTAGTATACAACATTGAATATAAAGAGTACTATAAAGCTTCTTGCCTAATCCTTGAATTTTTGTGAGTATTTTAAATTTTCACTAGTATCCATTGAACTTTCTAAAAAAAAAAACACTTCACCTTACTAAAATGACAATACTGCTTACTCCCAACTCAAATATATGAAACAGATTTTTACTGAAAGGAAAATACATAAAGTGTCCCTACATATGATATTATTGATCTTTGTGGGGCATCACTTTTTGTTTATGTATGAAATGCATTTTAAACCTGCTGATAACAAGGCCAAGACAATAGGCTACCTATATTGCAACTCCAAAAGCATAACAATCAGTTTGGAAGGATCATACGTCTAATCAAATATGTTACCCTTGAGTTCCTTTGACCCAACAACGTGGTCATAAGAACACTCCCTTGACATTATAAAATAGGCATTTTCAATCAATCTAATGCCAGGAGTTAAAGGAAATTACTGATGTATTCTACAATCTGGAGAACTACAAACTTAAAAAAAAACAAAAAGGAAAAAAGAAAACTCACACACATAAAAATCAAGCCAAATTCTAAGTGGACTCAGTAAAATCCTGATAGCCTCCAAACGGTATCTAAACAAAAAAACAAATACGTCAAAAACCAGATCAAACCAAACTAAACCAAAACAAAAAACCCCATCATGTTTTGGGTAAAAATATAGCATTTTTAAAAATCTAAACTCCTGAGAACCTCAGAAAATACATAGCTTGTAAAATCTTCCAAAATGTAATGCCAGTCCTAGAAAGTTATAAAACTAGAGTTTAGTACTGAGGTCAGAGAATATTTCTGAATCAGAGAGAAGGAAGTAGCTGCACAGTAAGGACACACACTACATTTGAAACGGAGAAGGGACTTCTTGGAGCATAAAGGTGGTGTTATTTCCCCGTACTCCTCATAATAGCCTGGAGATAACCACCTTATTTAAATAAGAAGAAAATGTTATGTTGTTTAATCCATACAAATTATGAGAAGAAAATTGATGAAATGGAAATAAATAATGGTCAATAAAAGAGAACACACTGTTAAAATATAGCAATAAAGTAGAAAATATAATAATGCAATTTTCAAAGTAAACTAAAGTCTTAATAAAATAATGACAAGATTGAACTAATAGTATGAATTGGAAAAAATTAATATAACAGAACTAAAAAATATATAAATTATATCAGTAAGTATAAATAAGCTGGAATTTGGAACTGTTAGCATATGAAATATTTACATAAGCTTCACTCCCATGGAAAACTAGAAATAACAATCCTGATAATATGAAAATCATGAGTATATATAGAAATTGAAAAGTGGAAGATGCATACACACACATACATAGAGAAACAAACAAACAAAGTCTCCCTCGGTTTCCTAATTCTTCATGGTAAACTAAAAGACACATCAATTTCTGAGAGTAAACACAGTAAGAGGAGGGGCAGTTTGAGAAAAATTTACCAAAGAGTAAATTTACCTAATCTGGAAGAGGACTGTTGAGCTAATAGTGATGGAGATGGGGCAGGTGGGACCCACTGGAGTCTGAAAAACTTGAATTGCAAAATTAATTTTCTCAGCAAATAACCCTCCTCATCCTTACCCCGGGTTTTCAAGTTATGCTAAGAAACTTGAAGTAAAATTGAGACTGCAAAGAAGAAAAGACCTGCAAAAGTCTCCTGTTCCACTTAATGGAAAGTTGGTGTGATGTCATGTGCTAAGGTGGGTAGGCACCTATTATAGATTGAATGTTCTCCATGTGTCCTCCAAAATTATATGTTGAAACCCAATCACCAAGGTGATAGTATTAGGAGGTGGGGCCTCTGGGAGACGATTAGGTCTTAAAGGCCCCACCCTCATGAATAGAATTAATACCCTATAACAGAGGCTTCAGATCATTGCTTTTTCTTTTGTCTTTTCTGTCATATGAGGACCTAGTGTTCATCCCCTCCAGTGGACACAGCAACAAGGAGCCATATTGGAAGCAGAGAGCAGCCCTCACCAGACACAGAATCTGCTAGCATCTTAATTTAGGACTTCTCAGCCTCCAGAACTATGAGAAATAAATTTCTATTGTTGATTGATTACCCAGCTTGTGGTATTTTATTATAATATTGTATATATTTTGTTATATTATTTATAATATATATACTATTCTGAAAAATATATTTTAATGATATTGCCCCATGAAAGATAGAAAGTGTAAACACCTTTGTACCACAAAGTAATTGACAAAAGAGTTAGAGAACTTGCCTAAGTGGACTGGGTTTACTTTTCTCAGAAAGACATTCTATTAAACCATCAAAGATCAGACAAGAACAATGCTTCATACACTACTCTTGAGCAATAAAAAAAAATTGTTATTTTTCTAGGACAGATACATTGATACTAAAATATGATCAGGGCAAGGTTCATGCCATAATATCAATAATAATTAATATAAAAATCACCCAATGAGTATTGTCAAATAACCTCCAAAACGCAGAAATTTACAACCAGAACAGAATAATATTACAATACTATTAAAGTGTCCAGCAACATTAAATATTCAAAATGTCTGTGGTCATTTAGAAATCTCTGGGATTTGGCAGAAAATGTTCTCATTGAATATGATCATTGGTTCAACTTATTTGGTTCAAGGACCACTGCTTCTATTTCCAAATTGTAAAACGGGTATAATAACATTTTAAAAGTTCTTGTGTAGCATGTATGTTTATTGCAGTGCTATTTACAATAGCAAAGACATGGAACCAACCCAAATGCCCATCAATGATAGACTGGAAAGAGAAAATGTGGTACATATACACCATGGAATACTATGCAGCCATAAACAAGAGGGAGATCATGTCTTTTGCATGGACATGGGTGAAGCTGGAAACCATCATCCTCAGCAAATTAACAGAGGAACAGAAAACCAAATGCTGCTTGTTCTCATCCATTAGTGGGAGTTGAATAATGAGAACACATGAACACAGAGAGGGGAACAACTCACATTAGGTCCTGTTATAGGGTGATGAGTGAGGGTAGGAAATGTAGAGGACAGGTCAATAGGTGCAGCAAACCACCATGGCACATGCATATCTATGTAATAAAGCTGCACATTCTGCACATTTATCCCGGTTTTTTTAAAGAAGAAATAAAATTCCAAGAAAAAAAGTTCTTGTGCAGACAACATGTGGAGTCTAAAAGTGATTCAAATAATTTTAATTCACTTATTCATTGATTGTTTTTCACTAAAAATACTTTTTGAGCACCTACCAAAATTTAAGTACTGAGATTGCAGAAGTGAACAATATCAACAAAAATTTCTGCTTCACAGAGCTTACATTCTAGTGTGTGTTGTGGGGGACAAAAATATAGAAAATACAAGAGTAATATATAGACAGTGTTTAGTGGTTGTAGTTCATGGGAAGAAAAACAAAGCAGGAGAGAGGTATAGAGAGTAATGAAAAAAGCCAGTTGAAATTTTAATTAGGGCTCCCACTGAGATCCTGCTGAGAAAGGACATGTGAGCAGAAGGCTGATAAATACAAGGAAATGATCCATGTAGATATGTAGGAAGAGATTATTTTAAGCAGAGAAACAGCAAGTGCAACTCTCCTGATGTAGAAATGTGCCTATGTCGGCAAGAAGTAGCAAAAATTCCAATATTGCTATAGCATAGTGAGTCAGCAGGTAGGACAAAATGATGTCAGAAAGTGCACAGAAGGCAGATGGAGTAGGGCCTTGTAAGCCATTGTGTAACATCAGATTTTTCACTGTTAAATTAACTGGAAAATCATTGGGAGATTTTCAGCAAAGGTATGAATGTGAATTGACTTGCATTTTAACAGAATGATTCCTTCTACAGGGTTGAGAAAAGATTCACTAAGCAAGGACAAGTTCTGGGAAAACAGTTCAAAGCTATTTTGAGGTAAGAAGTTATTAAAAAGTAGACCCTAGTCTTTCATGATGAATTATATGTGACATGAAAGAGAAAGTGAGTAATCAAAATGACACCCATGTGTTTTGGCTTATGTACCTTAAAAAATGGAGTTGACATTAATTAACTTAAAAATTAATGAAGGTGGACTATTATTTAATTTATTAGACTATGGATAATTAATAATCAAGACATGCAAGATTTTAGGGGAAGATCTAGAGTTAAGTTTTCATCAAGTTTGAGTTACTTATTAGAAATTCAAAGGGAGATGTTAAATAAGCAGTTGCATATAAAATTGAAGCTTTTACAAATAAGGAGAGGTTGAAGTAGGAGCTAGAGAGTGGAAAATTTTCAGAGAATATATGCCATTTAAAGTTGTGTGACAATACATCAAGGGAGAAAAAATATAAATGAAAAATATGGAATCAGTACAAAAATGCAGGGGGCTAATAAAATTGGTATTTCAACTGTGTAATTTGTTTGAAAGGGAAATACAGATGCTCCTTGACTTACATCATGAAAAACATTGTAAATTAAAAATATCTAAAGTCAAAAATGCATTGAACACACCTAAGCTTCTGAACATTATAGCTTAGCCTAGCCTTTTTTAAATGTGCTCAAAACATTTACATTAGCCTATGGGCAAAATCATGTGGTAACACAGTACATAAAGAAGAGCATCAGTGACTTACCATTGTGTTCAATTGGCTGACTGAGGGCTTGCTGCCACTTGTTCACCACCACAACAGAATATCATACAGCACCTTGGTAGGCCTGGGACAAGGTCAAAATCAAAATTCGAAGTATAGTTTTTACTAAATATATATCACTTATGCATCATCTTAAAGCAGAAAATTCAAGTCAAATCATTGTAAGTCGGGACCATTTGTATATCTGTCTACTCAATTGCCTTCAAGATGTATGAAATATCTTTGCATCTTATCTCCAAGTGGGTAATATTGCAGAAGTTAATACATTTTGATTCATCTATGACATACATATATATACATGTATGTGTGTATATATATATATATATCCTGAATGAATAAAAAATGTTGTATACAAATATATGTTATATATAAAATATTATGTACAACTACATGTATGGTACAATATATATTAACATAGTTATATGTAATGTATTATAACTAATATACAATGTACCTATATGTAATATATATTATATATAAGTGTATATACATATATATTAGCAAACTATGTCACTTTATTTTATCAGGTAATATTCCCAAATAAATTAATTAAAAGTGACCTTGAAAATGAAGAACTATTATTTGCCAAATTTTATTTTTTCTCTCTGTACATTAATTGGGAAAATGTATTAAATCTCTATCTTGAGGCAAACACAATGCCAACAAAAACCCCACATGAATATTGTCCTCAAAAAGTTTGCAATTTGAGAGAGTTGGACGTATAGACTATAATTATAGTACCTTATGGCGCGTGCAGTGATGGAGAATGCACTGATGATTATTTAAACACTGAATAAAGTTTTTTTTTTCCCTTTGGTTAAATCTGATTTTTAATGATAAATTCTTCCAAATGGTTAAAGATAGCTTTCTGGATTAGAGAGTCTCTATCCAAATCTCTAAGTAAAGAAGGATTAGAAAAAGCAAGGGAGGACAGTGAAAGAATCACAGCCTGAAAGAACCGTGTGAACAAGAGGATGATGGATAAAAATAATAAGCTGTGCTCAGAGGAATAAAGCAGATCAGTGTTTCTGGTGCACATGTTTCCTGGAACAAGATGGTAGTTACGTTTGTGTTGGAGGCAGTGGTGAGAAACAAAGTTGGGGAGATTTCAATACATAAAGCAACTTGAAATAATGAAATTTTATATTGCGAACAACCTTAATCAAACGTGAATTTGTTTGTTGAATTACCCGTCTTGCCCTCCTTCTGAGAAGTGAATTCTGTTTCCAGAAACTACAAAATAAATGGTCAATAATTAAGTTTCAAATTACGATATGACTAAACAAATGACACGAACAGATTTCTTTTTAAATACATTTCTCTCTTGTCGGTATGATAGCTGAAATTGATGACCATACAACTGAAAGCACAAAAAAGCAATTAAAATATTTGGCATAAATATAAGTTATACTTGAGAATTTATTGCAGAATTTTATCCATGATATTAAGAAAGCAGAGGGTAATAGACAAATTAAGCCCAGTGATTGGAAACAAGGTGGGAGGGAAGAGTCAAGGACAAACTCAAGTTTCTAACTTGGGAACTGAAAGTGAGATAACTAAGAAATTGGATACAGAAAGTAAAAAAAATTTAAACATGAACATTAAACAGTACAGTAGAAAGTAATGCTGAAGAAGAGCTAATCTTGTTTGACAGTTTAACATAAATAACGATTAAGATAAGTGTTAAGCAACATGTCAATGTTGTTTGCTTTGACACCACTAAGTGACAAATTTTACACAGATTACCTTAATTACTGGAACTTTATTATTCTCAGGTAAAGGTAGGTAGAAAAGACTAATTTTAAGCAGTCATTACCACAGATACATTCCCTGGGAAATTTACTAAACATGCTCATTTCAAATAAAATAATCTTTAGTACTCTCTGTGTAAAATACACAGTTTAAATATGCAGTGATGATAAGGAAGTATAGCAGATACAAATGGCAACAAATTGAAACAGTTTCAAATGAAATGAAATTAATATTTGATTTGGAGTCCTTGCCCGAAGTCTAAATTTACCTGTTCCGTGTGTGTTTGCTCCACATCTGGTTTCCTCCCCTTATGGTTTCCCAGTAATCAATAGTTATGCAGCATTGCACGAAGCGGTGCTTTAAGGAATCCTTAAGCATTTTTTCAATCTAATTACCTGGAGTTATCTACCTCAGTTTGCTGTAAGAAAATGTTCCAGTTCTTTGGGGAACCTTCACAGAGATTGGCGAAGAAAGGCACAAGAGATGTAGTATAATTGGGTGATAGAGGTGAAAATACAATTACAACTTGTTGCCTATTTCCCTCTAGCTGCTGTCCAGATTGGTGTGTAAAGGCTTTGAGGGGACAGTCCTCAATTGCTGACTCTAACAGAAAGATTTTGGGTGAAGATCCAAAGCTTACTATGCTGAGGAATAATGTTGACTTTATTATATTTTTTCCTTATCTCAGAAGTTAAGACTTGATGGAGTTATCTGAGGAAGCAACACTCTCCTATCATTTTAAAATGAACATGAAGATAACAAATAACAAACAAGAAACACAGTAAATAAATAAATTTGGGTACTAGTTCTAGCTGTTACCAGTCATTCCTATTTTTACATGGTGAAGACATACAGTTGACATTGTTCACACATGAAAACATGTTTTATTCCTGTCACAAAAGGATGTAAATCTTTTAAGGTTTTAAATCAGGTTTATCTTAAAGTTATACTATTATAAAAATAGATTCTGAGTATTATTGATATATTTTTGATTAGATGTACCTCCAAAATAGTCTTCAAAGTCACTGAAACTAATTTGTTTATTTTTAAGAATTTGGAGTCATACGGCTTGACCACAGAACATAGGGACAGACAAGGTAATATAGATGCTCTAAGAAGTCATGGTGACAAGGAAAGAATTATTAGTAGGAAAAACAGAAAAATAAATATTACATGTAAAAATGTATAACATATTAAAAGTTTTTCAATAATATACCACATGTGTTAGTTTCAGATAATTCTATAGTAAGATATTTTAAGGAAATTTAATTGCCAAGAAATAGCTAATAATTATGTTTCTTAAAGAATTCTAGTGCATAAAAAGAGAGTTTCCAACTTAATTGAAAATAAATCTTAGTAAAATAACTATAGATTAAATTCTAGTAATTAATCCTATATATTATAGAATTGTTATGGCATTAACTTCAAAAACAAGCAATTTATTAGCAATTCAACATTTTTTTGTTCTCATTTTCATTCTCAATAAAAATATATTTTTTATAAATAGCAGTCATTTTTCATTTCTCTTTGTCTTATATTCAAGCATATATTTACATAAAAATACAAAGATGTCTCAGAAATATTGCAGGTTCAGCTCCAGGCCACCACAATAATGCAAATATTACAATAAAAAATCACATAAATTATTTGATTTCCCAGTAAACACAGAATTTATGTTTATGCTATAGTGTATTCTATTAAGTGTTCAATAGTATAATGTCTGAAAATGTACATTCCTTAATTGATACTTTATTTCTAAACAATCTTGATGATTATCTGAGCCTTCCGTGAGTCATTAACTTTTTGCTGCCTTTGTGTTGATGGCTGTTAACTTATAAGCGTGGTGTTTGCTGAAGGCTGGGGTGGCTATGGCAGTTTTTAAAAATAAGACAACAATGAGATTACTACATTGATTGACTCTTCCTTTCATAGATGACTTCTCTGTAGCATGTGATACTGTTTGATTGCATTTATCCAGAACAGAACTTCTTTCAAAATTGGAGTCAATCCTCTCAAAACTTGCAGCTGCTTTACCAACTAAGTTTACGTAATGTTCAAAATCCTTTGTTGTCTTTTAAACAATGTTCACACATATTCACCAGGATTAGGTTTCATTTCAAGAAACCACTTTCCTTGCTTATTCATAAGCAACAATTCTCATCCATCCAAATTTTCTCATGAGACTGCAGTAATTCAGTCACATCTTCAGGTTCCACTTCTAATTCTAGTTCTGTTGCCATTTCTGTCATATCTGCAGTTACTTCCTCCACTGAAGTCTTGAACCTTTTAAAGTCATCCATGAGAGTTGGAATCAACTTCTGAACTCCTGTTAATGCTGATGATACTAATTGACTTCCTTTCATGAATCACGAATGTTTTTAATGGCATCTAGAATGATAAATGCTTTCCAGAAGGTTTTCAATTTACTTTGCCCAGATCCATCAGAGGAATCACTGTCTAAGGAAGCTATAGCCTTCTAAAATATATTTCTTAAATAATAAGAATTGAAAGTCAAAATGACTTCTGGATCCATGGGCTGTAGAATGGATGTTGTGTTAGCAGACATGAAAACATCATTAATCTCTTTCTATATCTCCATCAGAGCTCTTGGGTGACTAGTTGCATTGTTAATAAGCAATATTATTTTGAAAGAAATCTTTTCTTTTTTGAGCAGTAGGTCTCAACAGTGTGCTTAAAATATCCAGTAAAGCATGCTGTGAACAGATGGGCTGTCATCCAGGTTTTACTGTTTCATTTATACAGCACAGGCAGAGTAGATTTAGCATCATTCCTAAGGGCCCTAGGATTTTCAGAATGGCAAATGAGCACTGGGTTTACCTGAAAGTCATCAACTATATTATCCCTTAACAGGAGAGTCAGCCCGTCCTTTGATGTTTTGAAGCTACGCACTAACTTCTCTTCTCCAGTTATTACATTTCAACATGGCACCGTCTTCCAGTACAAGGCTGTTTTGTCTACATTGAAAATCTATTTTTAGGATAGCGATCTTAATTAATTATCTTAGATAGACCTTCTGGATATTTTACTGCCGATTCCACACCACCACTTGCTGCTTTACCTCACATTTTTATGTTACAGAGATGGCTTCTTTCTTTAAACCTCACGAACCAAACTCTCCTTAATTTAAACCTTTCTTCTGCACCATCCTCACCTCTTTCATCCTTCATAGAGTTAAGGAGAGTTAAGGCCTTGCTCCTAATTAGCCTTTGGTTTAAGGAAATGTTGTGGGTAGTTTGTTCTTCTATCCAGACAACTCAAATTTTCTCCATATCAGGAAGTCTGCTTCACTTTCTTATCATTCATGTGTTCAGCGGAGTAACACTTTTAATTTCTCTCAATAAGCTTGCCTTTGCATTTTATAACTTGGTTATTTGGCAAAAGTGGCTTAGCTTTCAACCTATCTCAGCTTTAAATATCCCTTCCTCACTAGCTTAATCCTTTCTAGCTTTTGATTTAAAGTGGGAGACGGTTGACTCTTCCTTTCACTGGAATACTTAAAAGACATTCTAGAGTTATTTATTGGCCAAATTTCAATATTGTTTTATCTCAGAGAAAAGAAAGGCTGGAGAAAGGGGAGAAAAGCAAGGGAATGGCCAGTGAGTGGAACAGTCGGAATACACATAACAGTTTTTCATTCAGTTCACTGGCTTATATTTGCAGAGTTCATGTCACACCAGAACAATTACAATAGTCATGTAAAGATCACTGATTACAGATTGCCATAACAGTTATAATAATAATGGAGAAGTTTGAAATATTGTGAGTATTATCAAAATGTGACATAGAGGCAAGAAGTGAGCACATGCTGTTGGAAAAAATGTTCTGATAGACTTTCTTGACACGGGGTTGTCACAATCCTTCAATATGTAAAAAGCACAATATGTTTGAAGCACAATAAAGTGAACTGCAATAAAACAAGGTATGGCTGTAACTGCTGTAATGAAGAAAATAGGAAGTGAAGCATTTAGGGGTTGAAGTAATATTATTTCCTATTAGTACAGACTATCCTAGTCTTACCTCCTAAAGAAATAAAATTCTTACTTTTCTTTCTTTCCAAGAGATGATAATATTCTATTTAGAATATTTTAGAAATTAAATGAAACTCTTTTTAACTATATCTTCAGTCTGGGTTTATAGTTATGTATTAAGTACATAAGAAAAGTAAATGTCTTTCTCAATGTACATTTAATAATCCTTAGAAAGCTCAAACTTTATTACAGAAGATTTAATATAACAAGAGATAGACATCTAATTCTTCACTCAAAGTCTACAGAAATTCATCTTAGCTTCCTAGCAACTCCTGTTTCTTGCTTTGATTTTTGAACTTACTGTCTCTCCATCTTTTTCTGAACTATATCCAGTTTCTAGGCTTTGCCTATTAATTTGCAATAAATCTAGTTTGTCTCTACAACGTGTAAGAGTATGGATTGAACCTTTTTCTGTAAAGAGCACAGCATGCTTTTCCCGATTTCTAGCTCATTGCACCTGCCTCCCAAGTCTCTTGCTGCTGCTGTTAATGCCTTGCGCAGCTGTGACACATGGTTCCAACACTCCCTACATCCATAGTGTGTCAGTTTCCTACAATAAAAAAGGAAACTTTATTTTGATCTATAGACAGTGTTTATTTCCAAAAGGCAGCATCTGAGTTCAATAAATAAGTTGTTTCTAATCAAAATGGGAAACTATATTATTTCCTCAAAGACATGCTAGTTAAACAAAATCACCTGTTCAAATATACTATACTCAAAATAGTTTGTAATACTTATTAGCAAGAATCCCCAAAAATGAATTTCCTATTTTCCATGAATGTCTTTAAGAATATAAATAAATTAAAAGTTTAAATAAAATAACCTCTATATTATTTATACAAAGAAAATATTCTTCAATTAATAATTTCAAAACAAAATTACATATGTGTGATCTAACACATGCTTAAAATCCTAACAAATTCCTAAATATACACACTCTCTGTTACAAAGTTGAAGGCACTTATACAATGTTTATTTTGTATTGATTAAATTATGCAATGAAAATACATGAATATGATTATAAATCTTTTGCCCCCTTTCAAGCTTAATTTTTTAACCCTCATTATTACCTCCACAGACTTTGGCCATGGTACATTGCTTACCATTTTTCAAAAATATCTGAAGATTTCTGCTTCTCTGCCAATCTATACATAAATAACAAATATTAACATGCAGTTATTCATATTCAACAAATATTTACTGATTCCCTATTATATGCAAGAATCTTTTGGCTGTTGGGAATGCAGAGATCAGTAAGACCGTCTGTTCCCATGGAATTTAACAAGATATCTAAGATTCTACTTGTTCTCTTCGTTTATACTGAAATGTATCTGTCCATCTTTCAAGGGTAGTCATTGGTTTTAAGTATTTCAATATACTAATACTGCATGCCATTTTAAGGTTTAATTAATACTGGCAGTTTTGATGTGACATGGCTATTTCAGACAACTGTTTTGTGGGGTGGGGTTTGGTCGAGGTCTTGCTCTGTCTCCCAGACTGGAGTGCAATGGCATGATCATGGCTCACAGCAGCCTCAAACTCCTGTGCTCAAGAAACCTTCCCACCTCAGCTCCCTAAGTAGCTACAACTATAGGTGTGCATCACCACAGTTAGTTCATTTTTAATTTTTTTGTAGAGACAGGATCTTGCTATGTTGCCTGGATTAGTCTCGAACTCCTAGGCTCAAGCGATTCTTCTTCCTCAGTCTCCCAAAGCAAACCCAGCCCCAAATTCTATTTGCCTGCTAGGGGAAATATAAATTATCTCTGAGTTAAGATAATATCATCATAGGTCTATATTATTTCTACATTTCTTTTATGTAGAATGTCTAGCAGTCAATCAAAAACACTGGAAAAGACAAGCATACAAAATGGTCCCAGACATCACTTAATAGCTTCATTTACTTTATTTTATTTTATTTTCCCAATGGCTCAACTATTCCAGGCCCATTCCTAATACCCTCACCCAAGTTGTCTTCTTCTTTATTTTAACTGTGCAATTCTTATTCCATTACTATTTCTCTCCCAAAGAACATGCTGAGCAAAGATGTGTTGTATGTAGTCTTCTGAAGATCAACTTGTTATCTGGAGAAAATGAATAGATATGAATGCAGATAGAATCACTCATCTAGTCTATCTAGAAGTATATCTAACCTAGTCAGAGATGAGGAGCTGCTTAGAAGTAAGATCCTGAAATCTTCACTTAATAGAGCTGAACACTGCAAAATAAATAAAGATAGTCCAGCTTCTAGAGGGCCACATCCTGGGATGAACTGAAGTTGAAAGAAGCAACAAGATCAGTAAAAGCCAGTAATTTATATATTGATCAATATATTGCTTACTTTATGTTTTATGCTTATGAGTTCTTTACAGTTCTTTCAGTTTCCATCAATAGTCTATTTATTGTCTTCCCAGCTTTCTCCTGCTGCATAGTCACAAAGCCAACAGCAAATGCTTTAGGTTCTTGTTATGGCAGCATTCCAGATTTGAGGGGCTGGAAAATAGAATGATGCTAGGAACATAAATTCATATTGCATAGAGACACATGCTGGGATGGGAGGAATCTCTAGTTAAAGCGGTTCAATTGGAGTAGTTTTGCAAAAGCTTGATAGGATCTTTTTTTTGTGAAAAAGATTGGAATAGGATTGGAAATAACAAATACAGAGTACTCAATCACATAGTTGTGTTATAAAGGTAAAGGAATGTAATGCTAGCCAGATCATTAATTGCAGTCAAGAAAAATGTTTAGGTTTTATTGGTTGATTTTATAAATAGAGAAGATAGCATATTTGCAAGCTCATGGAAATGATACAGTAGAGAAGAAAAATGACATGATGCAAAAGAGAAGAGAGATCTCCGAGTAGTATCTTTATATGAGCATAAGAATATGACATCCATTATACAAATGGATGCTTAGCAAAAGTCAAGAATATAGACAGTTTTTTTGTAGTGACAGGAGGAGTGGTGGAGTATTTGGGTACAGATGCTACATAGGTGGAATAATGTGGCAGTGAGAGCTTGATAAATTACTTCATGATTGCTATTATTTTAAATGTATTATGGGAAGTAAAGTTATCAAGTGAAGGAAATAATTAGATAGGAGATGTTGGTGATTTGAAGATAGAACAGTTATTTTAAAAAGCATTTAGGAGTGTAAGCAAATGCACGGCTTTGCTTTCCGCGCAGTAAGCATCATTAAAGTTGGCCAATGTTAATATTAAGTGAGATGATCAGCTACTTGCAGTTTCCAGTAGCCACGTTCAGCTATGCAGGTTTTGGTCAAGAATAGAAGGAAAGATATGTTTCATCAAGGTTATATTTCGGACAAGTAAGTGAAACAAAACATAGGGACAGGAAGTAAAAATTATGAGAAAAGTATGCTAACAATGAACCATACGAAGGATTGGCATAAAGAAACTCAGATTTCAGTTTGTGCAAGTGGGAGTTCTCAGAAGTGACTAATGATATAGATTTTCCAATGATAGACGATGAGTTCCTCAGATTTATTTTGTTCTGTTTTGTTTGACTATTTGTTTTAAAGAAATGAAGATTGATGAGAGATGTAAAAGTATGCTGATGAGAGAAAAGTATGCTAATAATGAACATTTCCAATAAAACTGGAAATGACTTAATGGGAGTAAATATATGAAAAAATTACAAATAAATAAAATATTTTAGGTTTTATACATATTGTGGTAGAGGAATTGTTGGAGATAGGTTTCTAGAAAGAGTGAGCTAGAAAAATGAAAGGTGGTAGTGGGAGAGTGGAACACTTGAAACTAAGATTTTGCAGGAGTTGTAGTTATTGGTCAAGACAAGATGTTTGATGTGACCATGGAAATAAGTAGGATGGAGGTCAGGAATGACACATAAAAGATCAAGAAGCTAATAAACCAGGTTATGACACAAGTAATCTACTAGATTCTAGTAATCAGAGTATTAAAATAATCCAGAATAATAATAGGAGTAGTGGCAGAGAGAGTGACAGTTAGCTAGGTAATAAAACTCCTAAGTGTCAACAACCAGCTGAAAAAGAATGAGTTGTTGGAGTCTTATAACATCAAATCAAAATTGGCCATTTCTTTTCAACAGAGGAAAAATGATTTAGAAGTTGAAAAAAGAAGTAATACCGCAAAGTTACAAGAGGGTCTGAACATACGAGGTCAGCATAGGAAGGATTGGCATAAAGAAACTCAGATTTCAGTTTGAGCAAGTGTGAGGTCTCAGAAGTGACTAATGATATAGATTTGCCAATGATAGACAGTGAGTTCTTCAGGTTTATTTTGTTTTGTTTTGTTTGTTTGATTATTTGTTTTAAGAAAATGAAGATTGATGAGAGATGTAGCCGCAGAGGTGATCACAAGAGTGATCTTTAAAGCTCTGTGTGGATCAGAATCAGGGTATTATGGATAATAAGAGAATTCTGAGCTTCTTGTGTTATCACATAAACAGAAATAAAAGACGTGATGATATTGGTTTTAATGGTCCCAGAGCAGATATTGGTGGCAAGCTGTGAATGTTGTGGAGAGTGAGAAGCAGGAATGTTGCCAGCAGCTCTTAATTCCTGCTGACGGAGGGAAGAAAGAAAAAAAATAATAAAGCAGAACATATATCCCCAATGAAAACTGAAATAATTCAGGGGGAAAAAAGAGAAATTTTAAAAGTATTCCTATTAGTATGCTTGGAGATTTTAAAATTTTCTTGTAGCTATATAAAAATACAATTGGGTGTAATAAAAAGGAAAAAACTCACAAACTGAAAGAGTGCTCTTAGCTACTAAAAACGATTGCCAAAATTAAAATAAAAACTAAATATTGACAACCAAGAAGATTGAAATTAAAGGAAAGTACACAATATAGAGCAAAAAGGGAAAGATCAAAAAAACAAGAAAGTTAACAAAACAGAAAATAAACTGAAAATTTAAATAGTAAAAAAAGAAAGCCTAAAGGCCCAGGGAAGTTCACATGACAGAGAAGGATTATGGTGCCGGGGTGGGGGGAAAACCAGGAAGTGAGGACACTGTTAGAGTCAATTTTATCTTAGAGAATAACTAACAATTTCTGAAGAGTCAGCTGAAAGGCTGAGAAGCTAAACTTCTGAGAGCTTCATTAGAGTCTGGGGATTATAACATAATGTACAGAGCCTGTCCAAACAAACCAGTAAAATGTATATAAAAACCCAACACTGTTTAAACATAATGCTTTGCATTGAGGCTCTAAAGGGTATCCTTGAATAAAAGGTGGATGAGAAATATTCCAGTACTTGCAGAACTAGAACCCAACTTCAAATCACCTTACTCTTGGAAATGGACAAAAATAGTCCAGGATTACTAGTGTCTCTATTTGCCTGCTACAGCAAATATAAATTATCTCTGAGTTAAGATGATAATATCATAGGTCTATATTATTTCTACAATTTTTATATAGAATGTCTAGCAATAATCAAAAACACCAGACAAAATAGGTAAAACATTTTGTGTCTGAAAAGAACAGAAACAATGAAAAGTATAAATAGGAGATTTATGTGATGAGCTGATGAGACATAGACTTTTTAATAATAATTTAAATGATTACATTACCAAATTTGACAGATAAATATAAACTATTTCCTAAAAGTCAAATGGAATTTCTAGACATAATTTTTTTAAGAATTAGGAACACAATTGATGGGCTTAATGGATTGTTATATGGAGGTAAATTGAAAAGTTAACTGGGAAAGAAGTATGAAGAAAATATCCAAAATGGAAATCATAAAGAGATTCAAAATATTAAAAAGGAGAAAAGAGATGTAGATGTGAGAGGGTCATATTTTCATTTGATTCACAAAGAGAAAAGAGAGTTTGGGAGAAAGACTATGTAAACAGATAATGGCATTTTTTTTTTTTTGAGTGACAAAAGGGACTCAATGAATTTAAAGCAAGTTAAATCAAAAGAAGCTATGCCCAGGCATATCACAGTAAGACTGTTGAAAACAAAGACAAAGTAAATGTTAAAAGCAGCAATAGAAAGAAAGTCATGCTATCTTCAAAAAAATCAAGAGTAAGGCTGAGAGCTGATTCTCAATGAAATTAGTAAAAGCAGAAGATAATGGAATTACATTATCAAAATGTCAGAAGAAAAAAATCTGCCAATTTAGAATTCTATAACCAGAGAAAATGTTTTCAATATGGAAATTAATGAAATCATTTTCAGACAACAAAACTGAGAAAAAAATGTCACCAGTAGTCCATAATGAAAGGCATAAAAAATAGCTTTCATTAAGCCAAAAATAATTGTCCAGTTTGGAAAGTGAATGTTAGGGATAATAAAAAGTGTAAATGTATGGATAAATCTAAATAAACATGTATTAGATAACTCCATAATTATAATATACTAAGGGGTTTTAAAAATATGCAATTAACATATGACAAAAATAGAAATTTTAAAGGAAGGTAAAGTATTTTAAAATTCATGTTTTTTTTTTTTTTGGAAGAGATAATATACCGATTTACATTAACATTTGAGAAATCTAGTATGAATTTGTAAATTCCAGAGTAACCACTAAGTGAATAGAAAAAAAGTGGATAATTAACAAGCTAGTAGGGGAAAATGACTAAAAAAGTTTGTAATGTTTCTAAAGAAGATTCATTAAAAGGAAAAGCAGAGTAGTACTACAAAAAAAGGAAATTAATTTATTTACCATAATTTATTTACATACATAAATACTTTATTTACATTTTAATTAATTTACAAATGTAAATAATGTTTCATTTAGAAGACAATAACAACTTAGGTTAAAAAACTGAATAAATAAATGCAATATATAGAAAGGTTGAAATAAAAGGATGGTAAAACATATAACAGATAATTTTTATTCCAAAAAAAAGCTGCTAGAGATATGTTAAAAGGATACAATATAGATTTTAATATATAATACTTTTTATTTTATTAGTCCATTTTCACACTGCTATAAAGAATTACCTGAGACTGGGTAATTTATAAAGAAAAAATAATGAATTGACTCACAGTTCCACATGGTTGGGAAGGCCTCAGGTAACTTTCAATCATGGTAGAAGACGAAGGGGAAGCAAGGCACGTCTTACATGGTGACGAGAGGGAGAGGGGAAGTGCCACACTTTTTAAACATCAGATCTCATGAGAACTCACTTACTAAGCCAAGAACAGCATAGGGGAAACTGCCCCTACGACTCAATCATTTCCCACCATGGCCCTCCCTCAACATTGGAGATTAAAATTCGTGATGAGATTTGGGATGGGACACAGAGCCAAACTATATGGATCAGTCCCTGGCTCCTCCCAAATCCCATGTCCTTCTCACATTTCAAAACACAATCATACCTTCCCAATAGTCTCCTAAAGCCTAAACTCATTCCAGCATTAACCCAAAAGTCCAAGTCCAAAGTCTAATCCGAGACAAGGAAAATCCCTTCTCCCAATGAGCCTGTAAAATCAAAAGCAAGTTATTTGGTTTCAAGATATAATGGGAGTACAGGCATTGGGTAAATATTCCCATCCCAAATGAAAGAAATTGGCCAAAATCAAAGGGCTACCAGCCCCATGCAAGTCCGAAGCCCAGTGGGACATTCATAAAATCTTAAAGCTCCAAAATAATCTCTTTTGACTTCATGTCTCACTTCCAGGGCATGCTGATGCAAGAGGTGGGCTCCAAAGGCCTTGGGCATCTCTGCCCCTGTGGATCTGCAGGGTACAGCCCCCCTCCCAGCTGCTTTCACTGGCTAGTGTTGAGTGCCTTCTGCCTTTCCAAGCACACAGTGCAAGCTGTGAGAGGATCCACCACTCTGGGGTCTGAAGGAGGCTGACCCACTTCTCACAGCTCCACTATGCAGTGCTCCAGTGGAGACACTGTGTGGGAGATCCAACCCTAATCTCCCCTCTGCATTACCCTATTATTGATTATCTGTGAGGGCTACATCCCTGAAGCAGACAAACTTCTGCCTGGACATCCAGGTGTTTCCATATATCCTCTGAAATCTAGGTGGAGACTCCCAAAACTCAACTCTTGGCTTCTGCATACCCATAAGCGCAACACCACATGGAAGTCACCAAGGCTTACAGCCTATGCGCTTTGAAACAATGGCCTAAGCTGTACCTTGGCCCTTTTTTGCCATTGCTAAAGCTGTAGCGACTGAGACGCAGGGTGCCATGTCTCAAGGCTGCACAGAGTAGTGGGGTCCTGGGCCTGGCCCATGAAACCATTTTTCCCTCCTAGGCCTCTGGGCCTATGATGTGAGGGCCTACCATGAAGATCTCTGAAATGCCCTAGACACATTTTCCCCATTGTCTTAGCAATTAACATTAGCGTTCTCTTTACTTATGCAAATTTCTGCAGCTGGTGGCTTGAATTTCTCCCCAGAAAATTGTTTGGTTTTTTGTTGTTGTTGTTTTTCCACATGGTCAGGCTGCAAATTTTCCAAATTTTTATGCTTTGCTTCCCTTTTAAACATAAGTTCCAATTTCAGAATATCTCTTTGTGAACACATATGAGCATACACTTTTAGAAAAAGCCAGGTCACATCTTGAACCCTTTGCTGCTTAGAAATATTTTCTGTCAAATACCCTTAATCAGCTATCTCAAGTTCAAAGTTCCACAGATGCCTAGGACAGAGGCAAAATACCACCAATCTGTTTGCTAAAGCATAGCAAGTGCCACCTTTACTCCAATACCCAAGAAGGTACTCATCTCCATCTGAGACCACCTCAGCCTGGGCTTCATTGTACACATTATTATCAGCATTTTAGTCAAAACCATTCAACAAGTCTTTAGGAAGTTCCAAGCTTTCCCACGTCTTTCTATCTTCTGAGCCTTTCAAATTGTTCCAATCTCTGCCCATTACCCAATTCCAAAGTCACTTCCACATTTTCAGATTATCTATTTAGCAGCACCCCACTACTGCAGTACCATTTTTTTGTAATAGTCCATTTTCACACAGCCATAAAGATACTACCTGAGACTGGATAATTTATGAAGAAAAAAAAAGGTTTAGTTGACTCATGGTATTGCAGGGTTGGGGAGACCTTAGGAAACTTACAATCATGGCAAAAGTGGAAGGGGAAGCAAGGCACATCTTATCTGGTAGCAGGAGAGAGAGTAGGGGGACATGCTACACTTTTAAACCATCAGATATCAGGAGAACTCATTCATTATTGTGAGAACAGCATGGGGAAAACTGTCCTCATGATCCTATAACCTCCCACCAGGTCTCTCCCTTGACACCTGGGGATTACAATTTGAGATGAGATTTGGGTGGGGACACAAAGCCAAACCATATCATTTATAATGATCCAGATTTAAATAACTGGGAGCATATAATAATTCTAAACTTATTATAGCTTAGTATCATATATATAATAGTCATAATATATAAAATGAAAATTAACTGCAAAAATAATAAATAGGAAAATCTATCTTCTTTATGAGAGAATTAAAAAATAAAAGCTCATTACTCTCAGCAACTTATGGGACAAGATGACAAAAAGAAGGATTAGAAGATTTGACCAATAAAATAAACAAAGCTCAAAGTTGCAGATCACCACAACAGACAACAGCAGAACCCATATTCTTTGTAAATGTTCACAGGACAATTGCTAAATTTTTGTATATGCTAGGACATAAAGTAAGTCTCCATAAATGATAAACGGTTAAAGTTATATAAAGGATTTTCTCAGAACTTAATATAATTACAAAATAAGGAAACGCCCATGTGTTTAGAAATTAAGCAATATATTTTTTAAAAACCAGTAGATCAAAGAAAACACACAATTAAAAATAGAAAATATTGGCCAGGTGCAGTCACTCACACCTGTAATTCCAGCACTTTGGGAGGCCAAGGTGGGTGGATCACCTGAGGTCAGGAGTTCAAAACCAGCCTGGCCAACATGGTGAAAACTCATCTCTACTAAACATACAAAAAATTAGCTGGGCATAGTGGTGCATGCCTGTAATCCCAGCTACTTAGGAGGCTGAGGCAGGAGAATTGCTTGAACCTGGGAGGCAGAGGTTGCAATGAGCTGAGATCATGCCATTGCACTACAGCCTGGGAAACAAGTGTGAAACTCTGTCTCAAAAAAAAAAAAAAAAACCAAAATAGAATAAAATGACAATGGAAATGAAATATATTAAAACTTTGTGACACAGCAAAAGCATACTTCAAGGAAATTTATAGATTTGAATGCAAATATTAGAAAAAAAGGCTGAAAATCAAGGATTTAAATATTCAACTGAAGAAATTTAAAAGGAATAGCAAGTTTCACCCTAAAAACTGGAAGGAATTACAGTTTAAAAAGTTATTAGCATAACTTAATGAAACAGAAAACTAAAGTGCAGTAGAGATTTTCAACAAAGTCAAAGCAGGGTCTTAACTAATAACTATTATAACTGAAGACCAATGAAACATATTAATTCTTTACAACACTGATATAGAAATACCTAGATATGTTAGAAACGGAATTGGAGATATTTTATGCACTCTATCAATATTAAAAGTCATAGGACAATTTACAAAAGAGAAGAAAAACAAGCTTTGTGCCAAGAACAAGAAAAAAACCTAGAATAAATGAACAGATTCCTGGGAAAAGAACAACAACAAAAAACCCAAAAAACAACAACAAAAAAAACCCAACAACAACAAAGCAGAACAAAAAGTAATGGAAAAACTGAAATGCACTTTATTTAGAAAAGTAATTGAATCTGCAATTAAAAATTAATTTTTCCATATTTACAAAAATTAGGGAGAACATACATTTATAAAATGTGAAACTAAAATTAGAATCAAAATTACAAATCCCTAGGAATAAATATAACAAGTATTGTTCAGGTCTAATAAATGACTTATACTGTTTAGAGAAAGAGAACAAATAGTGAATTAGTAGATTTCCTAGCTTGGAACTAGATTATAAAGCTTAATTTCAAGAATGCTTATGAAGGTTCAGGCAGGATGCATAAAAACTACTACTGCCATTCTTCGGAAAGCTCCGAAATCACACTACCTAAAAGCAAAGAATCAAACTCTCCTAGGATTTTACATTGATGATTTTTGATGTTACGAAAGGAGAAGCAATGATGTCAAAGTTTTCAAAAGAAAAAATATTATTCAGTCAAAATTCGAGTCAGTTAGGGATCCAGCTGGTTTGAAAAAAATTATGATACATTTTACAGAAGAAAGACACCTAATCCCACCACTCAGAGATCAATCTTTAAAATAAAGGCTATATTTCAGAAAAATTATGATGAAAAATGAAAGAGAGAGGACATACATGAAATTCAAGAAGTTTTCTCTCAAAGTTAAAAAAATGAGAAAAGAAAGAAAATGAGAGGGAGAGAAAGGAAAAAAAGAAAGGAATGAAGGGAGAGAGAGAGAGGGAGGGAGGCAGATACATTGTGTGTGTATGTATGTGTATGCAATCTCTGCATTTTCTTAATTGCTGTAATTGAGTTTTTTCTGTTTAGATTATTAGTTGCCTTCTGCATCTTTCCTGTGAAGGCCATGCTCTCTCTTAGCTCTGACTCTCAGTCACCCATTGGTGGCCTCAGCTATCTTGACCCAGGTGGTTACTCTCTTAGGGAATTCTAGGTCAATCTCTCAAATCGAAAGGAAAAGCCTTCTCCCCAACAATGAATGGTCTGATCATATAGAATCTAGCAGGCTACAAGTCCCATTCCCTAGCCAAGGTATTTACAAGATCAAGCATATTGATGGGGCTGACTTTAAACTTTCTCACAGCAGTCCACAGAGCTCTGCAGTTCACATTTTTTTTCAGGAGCTACACTATGGTCTCAAGAAGACTCTCCAATACAATGGGGTCTATGCAGTTTGCTTCATCCATAACACAGAAACACCACATCCATTCTGGATCAACTCCCATACCAATACTACCAGAAGAATTAACTTAGACCTAGCCACTTACATCTTTCAACAGCTATTCGAATCTGGAGAGGCAAGGTGAATAGCCGGGGATGATGTGTAGTGTGAGAAGTCTGACTCTTGGCCAAAACCTATGCATGACTTTTCAGGCATGACCATAGGCAGTTATAAAATGTTAGTTGTTTTGCCCATGGAGAAAGCTGGTCTGTCCACACCAGAGTTGGGTCACAGCCAGTGCATCACAGTCTCCGAAGGGAGTTGCAGTCAAGGACCCAGGCCTCCTGCCCATCCATACTCTTACTCATATCTGCCTTCCTAAACCAGGGGTTTCTGTTTGGAGGCCTCTTCATAGGGGAGGAGAAGTAGCTCAGCTGAGGACTTCTTCAGGCTCCTCTGCCAAGGCCACCTTGTGGAGTTGGGGCATGGAGACTTGAAGTTGCTTTTGTCCACTCTAACTCAGTATTTAGGACTGTTCAGCTCCTGCTCCTATTCCTGCCTCATCCAGGGGAGAAACAAAAACACCAAATAAACCAAAAACCCACAGGAGCCTTCTGTTCCAGTTTCTCTTGGCATTGAGACAGTCGCTGTGTTTGCTGATTTTCCTGATCCTCACCTGGCACTGTTCCATGATGAAAAAGGGAATATTGAAGAAAGGGATGCTTTCTCTTGTGTAGCTTCTTGCTGAATTTATCTCAGTAAGTTAATAAGGCTTGACTGCTACTTTCATTTTGGCTTGTTTGTTGTAATAGATCTGGCAGCACCTGGTAGCTCAGCTCTCTCCAGGTCAGTTCTGCTCGCCACATCACAGATGTTACGGTGCCACCCAGACACCACTTCAGGACCCAGTTGTTCCTGCCAGCTTCTGAGAGTGTTGACTTTTAAGAGTTCTCAGTTGAGTAGCTTCCCAGGCATTTCCTCCAACCTAAGGAAGTTGTCACAGCCCATGTTTACACCCTGTTCATGAAGTAGCAATCATTCGGTAACCCAAACAAGTGGGAATAAAAAGGTCTGGCCCTCTGACCTCATTAAAGAGCGTCTCTGAAGAGTCAACGCAGCTCCAAATTTCCCTATAGGACCAGCTCAACCTTTTGTTTCTATTGTAAGTGCTTGACTGTTCAACTTTTCCCTTTACCCAATTCTATTGCCTTCCCTCCTTCACAGGTGACCCCAGAACACTCCCTCATGGGTGACATATGTTCAAACTGAACCTCACAGTCTGCTTCCCACAGAACCTAAGACAAGAGTTGGGTATAGGCCTTCAACTTTCCTAAATCTACTATTTATTTAGCTTAATTTTTCTTCATCTTTTATAGACAAATTATAGGCAAAGAAGACAAAATTTTATTATGGTGAACATAAGTATAAAGAACAGATGTTGGAAGACAGGAAGTTGGAAAAAGAGGGGAAAGAAATAGGGAGTGTTAATATATTTATCTTATATGATGGATGTAAAGAAATAGATAAAATTGATAGCAACTGAAAAAATTTAAATATGGACTAGATATTATACTATGTAAGAAATAATTTTCTTAAATGTGAAAATGCCATTATGGTTATATAAGAAATGTCTTAGTTTTAAGAAGGACATATACAAATATACATAGGTGAAATATCATGATGTTTATAAGTTAAAATAATTTAGTCCTGAACATATAAACACATATAGCATTATGAGAAAATATATTAGCTAAACCTGTATGATGCAAATAGACATGCATGGTCATGGTCATTGTGCTCTGACTTTTGCTTTTTTAATGTTTGAATTTTTTCATAATAACAGTAAATAAAAGCAGAAAGTTAATAAGAAAGGAATGTATTTTCCAGAATATTTTTTTGATTATAAAAGAAACTAAAATTAAAGTGCTTGACTGTTCAACGTTTCCCTTATATATTTATCTGAATTTAAGGAGAGGAAGGTGACATGGGGTGGATGTTAAGTGTTCTAATTTTCATTTATCATAGAAAAATTTTTTTAAATGCTCATATTTCAAGTAATGCTAGTATAAATAATTACATATCATTGTGGAGAAAAACAAGCAAACCCAAAATACAAACATTTAAAAATTGTTGCTTCAAGGGAGGGGCAGTGAAATTGTGAATTTGACAGGGATGTATAGAATGATGTTGATTTCTGTGTTTTGTATGCATTGACTTTCACCATCTGAAATTATTAAATTAATAATAGAAATAACAGAATTGAATAGATAAAAGTAATCAATATTGACTAACAAGAGCTAAAAACTCTGCATTTTTAGTATTTTAATAATTTTTATGTAATGTATACAATGACTATCTCCCTATGAATTGTTTTGAATTTTATTAGTAGGTGACAGTTATGTTTCCAGGACAGCTATTCTCCAAACTCATGTGAAGAGAACGATTTTCCAGGTTGGGTTTAGCCTTTCACAGAGAAAGATCCATTGTTATTACCCACCACTGCCACTTTGAGCAAGAATGCTCCCTATTGGTCAATCAAGTAAATAATGGATTAACAGAAAAACATCCAAAATATGTTTCTAAATCCTGTTTTTACTATGTATTTTTTCACATTAAACTCCAAATTTACCCAGGAATTTTAAGTTTTCTGACTTATTTTATGATTTGTCTGCATGAAACACAACTTGTTTAGATAACTCTGCTATTCTAGCCCAGATGTTATTACAGTATAAATGACAGAAGTAGTGATCTACTTAATGCTTTTTGCCTGTGGTTAGCATAGTTGTTAGTCATTACTGTCTGTTTTCAGTTTCTCCTGGGCATAGGGCATGACAATCCTGAACTGTGGCTCTAGTAGTGCTATTTTTTTACGTTGCTTATATGGGATTTGGATGTGGGCAAGATATCTCCTGGCACACATGTATCAGTTGTTTCCTGCTTTTGCTGCACTGGTTAATTACTAGATCTAGGTAGCTCTTTTTCTTTATTCATTCCTGGGAATGACAAGGTCTGGGACGTGATAGAATTTGTAAGAATGAGTGTAGAAGGCACTGGATCTTAAATACCACTTGTCCCCTAAAGCATCTTGTTTGTATAAAATAAATCATACTTTAAAATGTTCACAATTTATGATATTATATATTTTTACATATAATGTATATTCACAACTGCCAGCATGTGAATATATATATTATGTGTGTGTGTGTGTGTGTGTGTGTGTGTGTGTGTGTGTGTGTGTATTTGCATGCTGGCAGTTGTAGAGATTCAGAATTGCATCGAAGGAGACACTTTAAAGGATGTGCATGGTACAAAAGAATTCATTAGATGTTCCATTTCAAAATTAAAATACACATTTTACATAGTGAAATTTATTATCAACAATTACCATATCAAAATATGAAGAGGGTATCAAGCTAAGAGTGCTATGTACAAATGATCAAGTTTATATTTTTCCAATGATAAAATATTAACTTTTGATTAATAACAGTATGACAATGGAAAGAACTAGACATTAAATCTGAAGAACTTAGTCTGAATTTATTAGCTATATGACCTTGAAGAATTCACATACTCTCTAAAATTCACTTTTTCATCCAGAGCATCCTACCATACAGAGGACAGTAAGAGCAACCTCACATGATTTCTGCAACTATCATGGGAGATAAAGTATATGAAAATTTTCTACAAATTTGCTCCAAAATGTTGACCAATTTAATTAGCTAGAGGTCATATTCTAATATACCTGACAGCTACATTCTTTTTTATTCCCACTTAAAATTAGGAAAAGTCACTCACTAATCATAAGGTTATTATACAAACTTGTTTATAATTCAAATGAAGCAAATGTTAATCAGTCAAAATTAAAATGCCACAAATTAGAATACCACTTTCATTCTGGGTTAAGTATGTATGGCATAAGGGAATTTAGTGTTTGCTAGGTGATTGTAGTAATAATGATAGATAATTAAATTCATATATTAAAGTGGCCTTAGTCTATTCGGGGTGCGTGTGAGCACATGAAATTTAGACATAAATTATATTTGCCAAAATAAAATAAAAATACAATATAAACCCCAAATGTGTTTCATTATTATTACATAGATTCAGATACATAAAGAGGAATAATGAATCACCTCTTTCCTAGTCGAACAAATTATATTCATAAAGTCTCTTGTGAAATATATTTGTAAGGGAATATGTTGACTTAAGAACAGATTCTAAAACTGATTACTCTATATATTTTTATTTAAATAAATTGTCACAAATATGTCATTTTAAGTAAATATTACTTAAAAACAAATTCTCCCACTAGAGCTAGAAAAAAACCATTTTCTAAAAGATTGTGTTTTATGGGGATTTTTTGCCATCAATAGTTTGTTTAAAATAGCATATTTGGACCACAATGAGGTAAATTTAGTCAACATTGTTTACAATGCTCTTCAACTTCACCTAATTGTGAAAACCATTCCATAAATATTTGTGTAATGGTTTTACTTAAGACTGGTATAAATCACTTCAAAGTGTGTGTTAATAGACTACTGTCCTATGCAAAGAATTCAAAGTTGTCTTTAATATAGGTTATTTTAGAAATTTCACTTTTTAAATTTTTAGTTTTTCTAGAAGACTTAATTAAAAGAATAAATTAGAAAATTCTCCAATGATAACAAAAGAAAACTACTTTTATGCTTTATAAATTACGTGATGGTTACATTATTGCTAAATTGTACAAAAAAGGAGGCAATGTCTGCCAGCTGCCCCTATGAAAAGAACACTTTAATTTGTTTCAAAATAGAGAATGGGAAAAATAAAGATCCATCAATTAGTATCACCTAAAAACTTCTATTTATATGAATATTGCCATAATTTTAAGCACATGTATTTCTAAATTATTTAAAAAGAATGTATAAGAACCATCAATGGGTCCCTTAACAATGAACAGCAGATTGTAATAGTGACAAACTATTACAATGAAAGGGAACAACTTGGCATAGATTTTTTTATGCAGTCTTTTTATTTTTATAAAATAAATAATGTGAAAGAGACTTTTTTCAATGTTCATGAAGTTAGATAGAAGCATATATGGGAATAATTTTTAAAAAATTGTCTGAAAGAGTGCTGAGGGGAATCGTGTCCTGCAAAAATACGATTTGAGGACTGGTTCTAAATGGGGACTCTGGAGCCATTCTGTGTCAGTTGATCTCTAGGGTCAGACACTAATTATAACCTGGTCAAGTCTTCTAACCTTTCTGACTCATTTTTCTCTTGTGTAAAATGGGAATCACAACAGTATTTGCCCCCCAAAATGTCTGTAATAATTAAAGGTAGAGGCTTTAAACCAGCACACAGTAAGTGCTGTATAAGGTTAGCTATTGTTACCGACAGTTACTTTACTAGTAGAAGTTAAACTCTAAAGTTAGCTATTGTTATTGACAGTTACTTTATTAGTAGAAATTAAACTATCAACCGTGTATATAATTTCTGTTCAATTTCCACAAAGGACTAATCAAAAGCAATACATGAGTAAGTTAATAATCAAAGAAAACCATGTACTAGACACATAAGAACCGTATAGGAGAAATAAATAAGATATTTGAGAAAGAAAGGAAAAGAGATAACTGTATCATTCTCCAATCTCATTTCCCAGAAACTTGTTTTAGAAGTGACCTTTATTTTGTCAAGGTACCTACCCCACCATCCTTGCCTAGGAGGACAAAGACATGGCTCTGAGAGGCTAAGGTTAGTAGTGGTGGCAGTTGTGGTAATGGTGAAATTAGCCATAGATTGACGTCCAGCTGCCTAGTGCCTTGGCTCCTCTTTAGTTTACTTGAACTGCAATTTCTACATAAAGATACCACTTAGATATTGAACATGTTTTTATGAAAATATTTACCTTATAGTGGACAAATTACTTTATTTTGGACCTAGCATCCTTTATTGCCCGTTTTTAATTTTGATGTAACCCACTTATCTCTGATAACATCCTTGTTACTCTGACACTAGATGCTTCAGCTAATCTTCCATATTTTCCCCGACAGCTATTGTTCCAAAACTGCTCTTTTTAGTGGAGAAACTACTTACAGTACTCACGATTTAATGATTCAGTTACCATTACTTCTTGGCCTTTGCAAGGAGCAGGGTTAGTAAAAAATGTATTTCAGAAACAAAACAAATGTGTTAACATATGATGTATTTTCAATTCCGATTTACTACCACAGGATTTTTACTTATCCTGTTTCATTTTTTTCCTATATTTATTTTTTCTTATAGTAAAAATTTTGCTTATTTGCTTTACCCAGTTACAAATGAAGTATTTTCAATGTAATAACACTAGTATTGCTTATAAAATTCAGAAAACTGAATGAGTTTTATAAATTCTTTGCAGTAAAATTTTGTCTTCAAATATTTTTCTCTAAATTTGAACATAAAAATATAATATACTCTAAATTAACTTAGATAAAAAATATATTTTCAGTCAACCTAGAGAGAGGGTTTCATTAGTTTCAATTTTTAGGAGCTTTTTACTTTCTAATTTAATTTGATTTGTTTTTGATTATGTACAACTATTAAAAGATTGCAAATTAGAAACTATATAGGAAGGTATTTAGGTAAATGTTTGTCTCCATTTCTGCTTCCTTTATTGTGACTTTCTCCCAACATGGATAGATGGAAAAATCATATCAACTATTAAATACTGTCTTTGTCACATATATCATAGAATTTGTATCATATTATAGGATAAAGATCATAATCATTCTATTTTATGGCTAAATCATATCCCATTATATTACATAAAGGATTTAATCTTTCAATTCCCTATTGAAGGACAGTAGGTTGTTTTCATTCATTTGCTCTTAAAAATTACCACAGTGAATCATTTCATATTTTTGCCAGTATAGCTTAGTGCTAGATTCCTAGTGCGATCAAACGGCTAATTCACTGTGTAAACTTCCTGATATTATCAACCTGTCAAAAAACCTCCATTCCTGTAATACTTTTTTTCAACCTCACCAGAAATGTGTGGAGATACATTTATCCACATAGATGTATTAACAAAACATTTCATCATGCTTTTAGAATTTTGCCATTCTGATGAGATAAAAATATTTATTGATCTTTCTTTTACTACAAATGAAAGTGAGCAAGTTTTCATACATTTAAGGTATATTTTTCTATGAATGCCTATTTTAAATTTGCCCATTGTACTACAAGTTGTTGATTTTTACTCCTTGATATTTAAGAACATTTTTTCAATAAATGTTTAAACTCTTTGTCATACAAATTGGAAATATTATTTCCCAGTTTCTTTCGTTTTGACTCAGCTCATGATATTTTGTTCCCAATATTTACATTTATAGGTCATTTATAGTTCCATTTTTTAAAATATGTTTTCTCTGACTAATTTAGAATTTATCTTGGAGTGAAAGGAGGAAAGAACCCAGTTTATCTTTTATCAAATCCCTAGCCAGTCGTCACAACATCAATTTAATATTTTTTAAATAAATAGGTGCAGAGTTCTATTTTTGGCGTATACCACAGGGATATGTTTTCCAATTATAATGTTCTTAAGTGAGAGAACATAAATATAGACAGTAGAGAAATAATCTTTTATTGCAAAATTCTTTTATTTTTTTAAATTAATTAATTTACCGGTTTTTTGTTTGTTTGTTTGTTTTTGAGACAGAGTCTCACTCTGTCACCCAGGCAGAAATGCAGTGGCACAATCATCGCTCACTGAAGTCTCGACCTCTCAGGCCCAAGTGATACTCCCACCTCAACCTCCCAAGTAGCTGGGACTACATGTGCATGACACCACACCCAGCTAATTTTTGTATGTTTTGTAGAGACAGAGATTTGCCATGTTGCCCAGGCTTGTTTTGAACTCCTGAACTAAAGCGATCTGCCCTCCTGGGCTTTCCAAAATGCTAGGATTACAGGCAGAAGCCACTGCACCTGGCCCTATAATTCTTTTAGATATTAACATTTTTTAAGATTTTACAGTCTTTAAAAAAACTTAGTGAATAATTTTTAGTGATGCATTTTAACCACATCTTTATAATAACTTATTCTCTATATTTCATCACTTTACATAATTTCTATTAAAATTGGTTGATTATAATAATAATATTGGCATAAAGTGTTTTGGAAATAAGCAACTGATTCATGGTATTAGAAATTAGCCAATTTGTCACAAGTGTTTACTATTATATGGACATGAATCAACATTTTTTACAGAAACAAAAGAGAGTACCAGCTAAAACAGGTTGTAGATTCTAGAGACCTCAAAAGTTGCAAATTTGCTTTTGAAATAAATGAGTTCCTGTGATTTCCAATAATGGAAAATAATAATAATATTATTATTATCTCACTCTGTCTCCCAGGAAGGAATGCAGTGGCACAATCATTGCTCACTGAAGCCTTGACCTCCTAGGCGCAACTGATCCTCCCAGCTCAGCAGCTGGGACTACATATGCATGCCACCATGTCCTGCTAAATTTTGTACTTCTTGTAGAGATGGGGTTTTGCCATGTTGCCCAGGCTGGTTTAGAACTCCTGAACTCAAGCAATCTGCTCTCCTGGGCCTCCCAAAGTGCTAGGATTATGGAAAATAATATTATTATTATTATTTTCAACAAAAACATTTTTCATTTATCTATCAGTCAATTTATCAATCAAGTACAGGGAATTCATTTGCCAGAACTATATTTTAGAACCAGCTTGAGAATAGTTATAGAATACCTGCAATGAAAACATAAATAAAAAAATAAATTGTATAAGCATGGAGAAGAATTTTTCTTTAGGTTTATATCAATATGGTCTTTAAAGTTTTGTAGGCATTGGAATTCTTATAGACCTCATTCCTAAAATAAGTTGAGCTTATTAGAGAAGTCAGATTTGAGTTAAATTTTATATCAAATTAGTCTTTAGTTTTTTTGCTCATTTTGAAAGATGTAATATTCAAATGTATCACTATTTCAAGTTTTTATTTCTGACCAAACTTAATGTGGTTACCTCTTCCTGACTCTGCATCATCTCACAGTCACACCGTTTTCTACCTCAGCCAGTCTTACTTTTCTACACAATGTACTCAACTACATTGATCACTTCTTCTCTAACCTACTGAGATTATCTCCTGATGGATGACACAGTTCACTCCCATTTTCACCATATTTACAGTTTATTTTGTGAATTTGCGGCTTAGTTCCCTGAGGATAGACTTTTAAAGGAGAAATTATAACAAAACTTTCTGTAACCAACATACTAGTTTAAATTTAAAGTGCATAATGTTGAAGGGTATGAATATTTATGAATCATGTACTTGTTTCCTTAGTTTCAGTTTTATAATAACCAAAATTGTAAAACCAAGAGTAACATCTATGGACTTGTTAGTATTGGTGTTTAGTGGTAGCATAAGAAAAACAATTGATATGGGGACTAATCCTAAACATGTTGTATGTATAGTAAGTGAAACAATTGTCTTCTTTTTTAAAAACAAGTGCTTTATAGAGAGTTTGAATAAAATAGATAGTACACGCTTCAGTTGACATGATTTTATTATGAAAATTTATGATTGCTTGAATTGCATTCTATATTTTCAGTATTGAACTGGATGTTGTTTCCCTTACTAATTTTTGATGTATTTAATGATATTTAGGGTTTTATAAGAAAACAGGCCAACCATCATAAAATGAAGATTGATATTTTCTGAGAATTCTTTCCATAGCTATAGATACAAGCACAGAAATGAAAACAGGGACTTTTATATATTGCTATTTATAAACTGTTTATAATAGTTTTCATTCCTACTGGAAGAATCTCCTCTTATCTCCAGTCAAAATTTGTAATTAAAGCCACAGAAGCTATTTTATACAACACATGATGTAGATAAAAATGTACTTAACTGAATTAGCAGGACAGGTGAATATTAACTATCATGTCTGAGCTTTTATTTTGTTCTTCACATTGCCTATGCACAAAAAGATCTGGGAAAAGACCTTTTGAAATATTTAGTATTCAAAGCGAGTATCACATAGCAAAGGAAATGTGTTGATATTCTATTAACTGAGCTTATGTAGATTACTTTCTTATGCTCAGGATCCATTTTTTAAGTGTAACTACATATTTAGTTATTATAAGTCTAATAAATAAGAGTATTTTCTTTAATTTTGGAGAATGAAATCGTGTCCTTTGAAACAACATGGATGAAGCTGGAGGCCATAAACCTAAGCATATTAACACAGGAACGAAAAATCAAATACCGCATGTTCTCAGTTACAAGTGGGAGCTATGCATTGAGTACACATGGACATAAATGTAGGAATAACATACACCATAGGCTACTAGAGGTTAAAGCAAGAGGGCGTGAGTTAAACAACTACCTATCCGGTACCGTGCTCACTAACAGAATGATGGGATCTGTACTTCAAACCTCACCATCACGTAATATTCCCATGTAAAAAATCTGCACATACGCTCCCTCTATCTAGGAGAAAAGTTGAAATTTTGAAAAAGAATTTTTTTTAAATTTTGAGATGAGTAAATACACGTTTGCCACATAGCTTAAATTATGCCTCTGGTAGTAAACTATATAACCATTTAAATTTTATATGATATTTTGCATTATTTAATAAACTAAACAGTGTTTTAATTAGAATTGACATATATTAGGCATAAAATGCACACACATTTATGAGGTCCAGGAAATAATATTGCTAACATGTGTGGGCAACAGTGGATATTATTATGATGGCTTTGAATTTTTACACTGTTTAAAATGGTCCTTGATAATTTTATACACCCATGGAAAGAATAATCATGCTTTTAGAACACTGAAATAATCAAATTCATTGAGAGATAATTATTTATTTATGTATATTTCTTTAACCCTGGTGGCATTCATGTGGCTTCCAAAAACACCTATCTTACAACTATAGAACACTAGGAAAAACAACAGATCCACATGTTGGGATTAAAGATCACAACACATGAGTTCATCATTAGCTCCGTCCCCTATCATTTTCCAGAGGCAATATCAAATACAAATGAATTTAAAATAAGCCTTAATTGGGAAAAGAAGTAGCAAAATAACATCATAAAATTGGAGCCTATGTGCTCCAGAGGAGTTTCACTCTAGCTTATGAGAAATGTTTTTGATTTTACTGGAGAACAATTAGGAAACAAATATGATTTTGAAGCTCCTATTCCATTTTTTCTCTGTTACTTCCCCTGGCTCTCACCCTAAATAGCCCAACCTCGAGAGAACAAGTGCCAAATCCTCTGGAAGGGAGTAATGAGGTGGCCAGAGGCAAGCAGGTTCAGGGCCCAAACAAAGTCTGATCACCAAAGGGCACCCTTGTTTGGGAGGATTTTTCTCAATAGGTGACATGTGTGGCTTGATTTGCTATGTGAAATAATTACAAAATGTTCATTACCATTTTCAGAACTTTTAAAGTTTTTAAAGAAAATACATGCATGCATTTTAGTATAAAAATGTTAAATATGACTTTTACTTATGAGAATTTATACCACTGCTCTAGACTACTAAATAGCAACACTAAGTATTCTTTTACATTGAGAGGTGATAATATGTGAAGGTTAATCAATTCAAGTTTGAACCACAAAATATTAATGCACATTAAAAATAAAATTACATTTATAATGGGTTTTATTTATAAATATAATCTTGTCAATACCTGCTTGTGAAGGAGGAAGGTAGTAAAAGAGATCAAGTACCTACTCTATTTTAAGTACTGTTCTAGGTATTTTATTTGCTTACATTATCTTATTCTATAACACTATTGTTAAGAGATTGTTGTTTTCTCTATGTGATTTGGATGAGAAATATTAACTCATGAAGCTAGAATTCTGCACTTTATATTAGTCTATTATACCACTTCACATCTCTACTTTTATATGTAATAGCTAAAGGCTATATACAAAAGCATAAAAATAGCAGATAAGATGCGGTGATAAGTTTAGCCTTGTTTTTAGTATGTTATTTGCTACATTCCAATCAGTAGTCACGATATAACATAAATTCTTGCTTGAAAACCAAACTTCTTTTTAAAAAATGCCATTTGACACTAGATCATTTTAAATTTAGAGGAAATATAAAAATATTCATGCCCTTCTTGAAAAATTAAAGCAATAAGCTTTCTGTCAAATGCAAGTGACATATTGAGGCATCCTTGCACACTGGTGGCAATGTAAGTTGCTAACATACAAATATGTCTATGTATAAATATCAGTGGCCTTTCCATTACTATACATTATTTTAGATAAAGTGACATAGTAAGCATGTGGAATTTAAATTTCAGAGGTGAGAGAGCCAATCACCCATGCAGCTGTCATATTTAGGACCGCATATGAAAGGCAGGAGAGATCTTCAAGTGTCAGGGAAAGAAAGTCTTTTTAAGTATCAAGATTTCTTCAACAGATGGCTTTGGTAGCTTATATTTTATATTTATGAGTTCTAATTTTTAAAATAGTAAACGTATTCTAATAATGTCCATTTGTTAATTTGTCAATCAAGTGATGGACAGTAGGTTTATAAGCTTTTAAATATAGAATGGAAAAGTATTTTTCTTAGTGATATGTTATGTTGAAATTCAGTGATCTAAAAGTACTGAATTTCCATCCTGTTTCATAGCATAGACATGAGATATGAGGGAAAGGAAAGGTGAATATAAAGAGGAATATAGTGAGTGACGATCACAAAACTGATCTGGTAAAGGAGCTCCCAATGGCGAAAAGTGGAACAATTCAAGCCACAGATTAATAAAGTAGTTTTGGATCATAAATATAAAAGAAATACATATGAGCATATTTAAAGTATAAAATAAATATACATAAGTACATATACATAAGTATATTTCTTTTAATTTACAAAGTATAAAAGAAATAGACATGAGTCCACACTGATATAAATAGACGATTGAATGAATAAATAAATATACAAATCTCCCATGCAGAAGAATTGTTAATAATAGTGTGGATACTTTCCTCTACTGGAGGTGAAGTTTAATTTCTACCACTCCCCTCCCTACCTATGGTTTTCTAGGCTTTAGTGAGACTTGCTTTCAAAAATAGAGTGGGGAAGGAAAAACAGTACAGTTACAGTGAAGAAACCTGTCAAACACTACCTTAAGGAAGTGGTGAATGTTAACAACATCATTAGTGAGACCACATGGCTATCATATGCCCTGTGATATGATGAGAAGAGAAAGTAACTTCACCTCTGTGGTACCTTTTCCAAAAACCCATTACCCATGGCTAATTTTTAAAAAAATAATAAGGCAACCCCAGACGGGGGGATATTCTGTAGTACTCATTAAGACTGTAAAGGTAATGTATAACAACAAAAGACTCAGCACCCATCCTAGACCAGAGGATATCTGGGAAACATGACAAATAAATTAAACGTGGTACCCTAGATCAGACCCTAAAAGAGAAAGAAGATGGGAATTGAAATATTGCTAAAATTCACACAAAGTCTGAATTTTAGATAATCATAATGTACCAATGTGACTTCTTAGTTTTGGAAAATGTATCATGGTAATGTCAGAAGTTCAAAATAGTGGAGAGATTATAAACAAACTCTCTGGACTGTATTTGCAATTTTTCTGTAGATCTGAAACTATTCTAAAATAAAGTTATGAAAAAAAAGAAAGCTAGTCAAGATCTTTAAAAAATTTACTGCCATGAATAATCAAAAAAATTTTTTAAGTGAAGAAGACATTTTAGATTGAGTCTTTTATGGTTAATTTTATGCATCAATTTGATTTGCCATAGGTTGCCCAGATATTTAATCAAACATTATTCTGGGTGTTTCTGTAAGGGTGTTGTTGGATGAGATTGTCATTTAAATTGGTAGACTAAGTAACATTTAAATTTGTGGCTAGCTCTCCCTCATGGGAGTGGGTCTCGTCCAATCAGTTGAAGGCCTGAAGAGAACGAAAAGGCTAACTCTCCCTTGAACACAGAAGTATTCTTCCTGCCCGATGGCCTTTAAACTGGGACATCTGTTTTTGTCCTGCCTTCAGACTGTAACTGAAATAGTGATGCTTCCTAGATCTCAACCCTGTCAGCCTTCAGACTGAAAAAAAACCACTGGCTTTCCTGAGTCTCCAGTTTGCCCACTCACCCCTCAGATCTTGGGACTTGCAGCCTTCATAATTGTGTGAGCTAAATCCTTACCATAAATACATTTTTGTACATACATCTTATTTTTTCGGTTTCTCTGGAGAATCTTGACTAATACAGAATATAAAAGACTTGACAACTAAATGCAATGCATAATTATTCTTATTCTGGATTAAAAAAACAAGCCAACTAAGAGCATTATTCGGACAATTTGAGAAATTTAAATATGAATTTGTATATTATATAACATTTTCATCACTGTTGAATTTACTGAGTGTTATCGTGGTTATAAAGAGGATTGCCTCTGTTCTTTGAGAATCTATCTTTAATTATTTAGAGGTGAAATGTTATCATGGGTTCAACTCACATTCAATTAGTTTGACAAATACTGTGAATCTAGATGGATGAACAGAGAGAGAATGATAATGATAATGAAGATACACTGATATAATTTTATACAGGCATATAGATAGAGAGATAAAGCAAATAAGGCCTAATGTTAAAACTTTTAAATCTCGAATTTTTTTTTGTCTTAAACTACTTTTTGTCTGTAAGTCATTCTTTTTTAATTGGTAGAGGAAGGAATGATATTGACTATTTTCAGAATCTTAAAGTTTTATTGTGGAGGCAAGTGAACTAATAGAAAAACAAGAATAGTAAAAAGCAGAATTCTAGGAGGAATAAAACCAAGCATTGTAATTGAAGTCTTTAGTAAAAACAGAGAAGTTAATCAGATTTTATTGTACTAGGTTTGACTATATTTTATTTGAATGGAAAGTGAAATTAAGTTACAATAATGAAAACCAACTGTAATTATTTGGCTTAGATTCATTTCCTCATTATAAACTCAGAAACCCTTTATAGAGGGAATAGTAACCATGGCGGTTACTCCAGGTATTCATCCATCAAATTTGAGAAGCATATGTGAAAAATTATCTTTCAATTAATCCTAGTGATAAATTATTCTGGGATGGGCTTTGTAGCAGACACTCTTTTTGCCCTCTTCTATTTGGCACACCCCAAATGTCATCTGCACCTTCAGTAGATTCTTTCTGTATATACCCTCAACTTCTTATCTGAATCAGCTGCATCCATCTGCCCAAGGGTTTTCTTGGCCAACATAAGGTTCTTGACCATAAGCAAAGTCAACAGAAGTGCCAGGGAGAAAGACAAGATTTGAAGGAAAAACATACCAGCTTCCCTTGCCTGTTGGTGCAACCATTCTCACATGTTTTCTACACAGTCCGTGAAAGGATATCTGGCAAGAGTTAACTACCTCACTCAGAATGTAACTCATTTTTTCTTTTTTTGCCTACCTACCCTGCGTTCCTATGACACTCTCATGGTGCTTCCTGAAATTACTTCCCAGATAATTATTCCACTTAAATTCTTATCTCAGTGTCAGCTTTTGGAGAATCAAAATTAAGATCCACATATTACCTAATGATTAAAAATGAGTAATGAGATAATAAAAATAGAAATAGATAAATGTATAGGTTTGCTTCTACTACAAGTTCAAGGAGCAAGAAGGGGCCATTTATTTTTCAGGATATTGTCATGTCTAAATATCAGGCTTAGGAATTCTGCAGTCTCCTTGACAGAGCTTGAGGATGAATCACATAGAGATCGTGATCGCATCAAAAAAATCTAAAGAAATTAAGAGTCATGTTGCACTGCTTAGCCATTATATCCCTGGATATCTTACCATTTGAAATGACAGATTTCTGTATTCATAAACTAGTCTGAGTTGGGATTTTTAAAAATTACCATAGCTAATATTAACAGATATAGGAAGTTTGTGGTAGAAATTGGTTTGGTTAGGATGTAGTTAGGACATAAGGATTGTTTTTAAAGTAGTTACATAAGAATGGAACAATATTAACTGTGCAAATTGAAAAAAAATGAACAGTCTGATAGTGATTGTTGAAAAAAGTGTCCTTTGGCACTGACACCAATTGTGCCTTCTACACTATAACCTCAGCAACTGGCTTAATCAGTAGCTTCAAATCCTCTATTACTCTTAGTTCTTTTATTTAGCAAACATTTATCCATCGCCACCAATGTTTCTAATTTTGTGCTTGAACAAAGTGAGAGGAGACATTTTGGGAGCACCCAGACATAGCTGATGACTATTGCAGACACAAACAACAAGGAAAACCATTCTACCTAAGCAGACTGGCAGAAAAAACAATAGTGAATGTGCCAGGTATGGGTCTCATGGCCTCAACATTTTAGCTCTGTGTTCTGAAAAAAATAACCCAATAAGTATCAGGCTCTCACAAATCTCCCATACCATTCAATTTGAAAGTAGGAGGCTGCAATATAGAGTAAATGAATTGCATCCCCTTCCCATAATTGATACACAGATACTAAACTCAGATTACTGTTTAAATCTAGGAGAGAGTTAGGCACATGGTGAAGGGTCTGCAAGCTCAGAAAAAATGCCCATTAACTCATACCTTATAGATGGATGGGTCTTACTGCTGAACTAAGCCTTAACAGATGAGTGAGTAAACTAGAAGAAAATGAAAGGTGAGGAACAAACAAAGGTTAGTAAGCACAGAGAGAGAAATGAACTCCTGGCAAAAGGATTTCTATGTGAAAAAGTACTGTGTTTGAAGTTAGCTGTGTGTCTTATTTGCTATGACTTAAAAAAAATGCTGGGGTGGGGGAAATTGAGTGTTAACTTTGTTCTGAAGACAATAGAGTATTATGATTAGCTTTATATTCAGGAAGGATAATATTGGCAGTCGTGCGGACAATAAACTAGGGAAATTATAATTGAAAGTAAAGAAGAGGATTCAAAATTTGTATGCTAATCTAAGCAAATTTCCCTAAGAGGAGTGGTGACATAAAAGCACTAAAGAATTATTTAAGAGGCTTTAGAGAAGCCTACATGCATTAGAAAAGCAGAATCAACTTGTCTTGCTTAGCACTGGATTAGGTGGCAGAAAATACAAGAAGTTGCTAAGGCTGAGTCCTCTTTTTACTGCTTGAGTAAACAGGTTTATGTTAAAACAATTTCCAGGCTATAGAATATGGGAAGAGTAAATGGTGAGATAATGAGGAAAGCTTAGACATGATGATTTTCAGATGTCTGGGGGACACCTGAGTGACTGCATCTTATTTAAAATTCTCAGTCTTAAATTTTGGGAAAGTGACTTAGACTAGAGGTACATATTGTTACTAGTGAACATATAAGTATATATTTAAATAATGAGACTAAATGGCCTCTCAAATTAGGGAGTTTTGATTCTTCATTCTTTCTGCTCACCAGTGTTACAACCAAGGGAAAATAGAAGGATCCAAAGAAGAATAAAAGTTATCTATTTTATAAATGGGCTAAAGCAAGGATCTAAACTCCTAGAAATAAATCTGTTTTGTACAGGTAGATTGGAGAATGCAAATGGACCCAAAGCGCGAGTAAAAACTTCAAAGAACCACTCCACTGACTGGAGCTTACCCACTGAGTCCTAATCTGGGAGGCTGGAAAATAGTGAGAGGAGATCTTGTTGGAGCATCCAGAGGCAGCTGATGGTTATTCTTTTCTAATGGTGAATTCATCCAGCAGAGACCGTAAGTGGAGGAGAATAAAAATTAGAACAAATAGCTAGCAAACAGAAAAAACAAGTAAGCGGGATAGACACAGAGAAAGGAACATATGTAAGAAATGAAAGGCCGGGCGCAGGGACACACACCTGTAATCCCAGCACTTTAGGAGGCTGAAGCGGGAGGATCACCTGAGGTCGGGAGTTCGAAACCAGCCTGATCAACATGGTGAAACCCTGTCTCTACTACAAATACAAAAATTAGCTGGGCGTGGTTGTGCCTGCCTGTAATCCCAGCTACTTGGAAGGCTGAGGCAGGAGAATAGCTTGAACTGGGGAGGCAGAGGTTGCAGTGAGCTGAGTTCACTTTGCTGCACTTTAGCCTGGGCAGCAGAGGAAGACTCCATCTCAAAAAAGAAATGAAGAAGAAATAATAAGGTGGGAAAACAGAGAAATAGAAATAGTGCTTAAAAAGTAAGGGAAGCTACACTAGCACCAAGATTTTGGTTTTTAATACCATTCTCCAAGAATCCAGGCCTTCTTGAAGAAATGGTTGACACTTAGCCTAAGGCAGAAAAGATATAAGATGAACTGTGAGCATCTTTGTAGGGCCACAGAGCAAGAAAGTGCTCAAAAAAAAAAAAAGTGCAGTGAGGAAATAAGCCCATAATGAATGGGATATGTCAAAGGGACACAAGAACCAACTGAAAGAGGTCCTGATGGCCAAAGCTAGGACAATTTAAGCAACAAAATAAAATTGTAAGGCCGGATGTGGTGGCTCACACCTGTAATCACAGCACTTTGGGAGATTGAAGTGGATGGGTCACTTCAGGTCAGGAGTTTGAGACCAGCCTGACCAACTTGGTGAAACCTGGTCTCTACTAAAACTACAAAAATTAGCCAGGCACAGTTGCATCCACCTGTAATCCCAGCTACCTGGGAGGCTGAGGCAGGAGAATCCCTTGAACCCAGGATGTGGAGCTTGTGGTGAACGAGATTGTGTCTCTGCACTCCAGCCCTGGGTGACAGAGTGAGACTCTCTCAAAAATAAAATAAAATAAAATAAAATGAAATAAAATAAAATAAAATAAAATAAAATTGGATTATAACCCAAAGTATAAAACAAATATCCATGAGTCCATACTAATACAAATGAACGCATAAGTGAATAGAGAGATAGATGATATCACACAACTTTGCTGTGTGGAAGGATTACAAATAATTTATGTGGATACTCAAAGGAGGTAGAATATAAGTTCCCACTCCTTAAGTGTGGTCTGAACATAGAAACTTTTTTTTCCAAAAACTGCAGTATGGAAAGGGGGCAAAAAAGTAACTTTATTTAATGTTAAACTTCATCAGAATACTATCAACAGTGATAAATTCTGCTGCTAGTCTATATCATTGATAGAATGTGATGAGAATGACGCTTTGTTTCTGTGGCCTTCCATCAAAAATCTATAACCTTAATCTAATAGTAAGATAAACATTAGATGAATCTCAATTAAAAGATATTCTTCAAAATGCCAAAGCAGTACTCCTCAAAACCTTTAAGGTCATCAAAAAAGGAAAGTCTGAGAGACTGACATAACCAAGAGAACCCTCAGGAGACATTGCAGCTAAATGTAAAGTGGTGTCCTGGAAGGGACCTTGAAAAAGAATGGTCTGTATTTAATAATAATGTATCAATACTGTTTCACTAATTGGCACAAATGTACCATACTAATATAAGATAATAATAGGAGAAACTGAGCCTAGGGCATACAAGAACTCTGTGTACTACTTTCTCAACTTTTGTGTAAATCTAAAATTATTCTATAATACAACACTTGTGTTAAAAAAAAAAGCAAGTATAAACAGGGTTTCCATTATAAGAGGGTTGGTTAAATAACATGCAACATTTGGAGTCAACAAAAAATAATTTTCAGTGACTGTTTACTGGATTTGGTGAATAGGATTTTTTGGGAGATGCTAAGACAGCTAGGTAAATGCTAACGAACAGGAAGAAAAGTGCTATGAACTAAAGTTTAAATGGTAATTTAGACAATGAAGGCAGCATGAATTAAACATTTCCTAAAAATAAGTCATCTGTTAAAACACAAGAGGAGAGAGAGATAAGAAGTTTATAAACTATAAAAAGATAAGAAATTATACTATATAGAAGTTGGAAAGACAAGGGAGTGAATACATAACTGTAGATGTGAAGTTCCCAAGACATTGGAGTGAATGATATCTGCAACACAGGGATAATAATTAGCCTGGAATAGGGAGAAAGATTTCTCTTTCTGAGAGAGGAGGGAAGACGGTAATGAGGAGTGCATATGCAGAGAATTTAAGTCCTATTCAGAGGATTGGGAAAGAAGGTAAAACATTTTCATGTTCTTTGGATACCATGACTTTTCACTGGTGTCACTTAATAACAGGTATTCTTTTACTTTCATGCTCTAAGAGTTCTGTCCATCAGTTTACAGTTTTGAAATCCTTCTTTCCTTCAAGTCAAGATGTTTTTTCCAGGCCTCCTTCCTGATATTGGTTACCCTCTTAGTACTGAAATTTCAAAATAATATTCTATATCATACAATTTTCTCTTTTGACTCCATGTCGAAGTTTGAAGAATTACTTACATTGACATATACAGGTTTAGTGCATTTATTTTTATGCCTGTTTAACATTTAATAGTATGAATTAAATAACATTTAATTTCTTTTTTTTTTTTGTCAATGGACACTTAGTTCATTTAAATTGGTTTAAACTATGAACAGTGCCACAATGCACATTTATGTCAATGTGTCCAGGTACACAAGTATAACATTTCCCTGACACATAATTCAGAAATCACAATTACTGTACCCTAAAGTAAGAATGACTGTCAGCATGTGTTTTTAGTCCGTGGGCTAGGGGGTTAAAGATTTTGTTTTAGTTTGCCCTGTTTCAGTTACAGATTTTCTTTTCTTAATACATGGAGTTTTGCTATGTTGCCCAGGCTAGTCTCAATCTCCTGGCCTCAAGCAATACTCCTGCCTCAGCCTCACAAAGTATTGAGATTACAGACATGAGCCAATATGCCCAGCCAAGTTTGTAATTTTGACTAACAACTTTATCAGGGACATACTTTGCTAAGTAAAATTGAGTCTACAAAGATAAAGAGGAAACTGCACAAAGGTTTCTAATACAAAAGAGACTGTGGCAGGTGCTAGAAGAAAATTCCCACATGACATAAATACCCCACATATGAAGAGTTTTTAAATTCCAACCATAGAACTAGGGCAACTTCATGAAGATTGTTATTTTTGAACTCAGCCTTGGATGATCATAAATGTTTCAATAGAAATAAGGTTTAAAGGTAGGAGAAGCTATTATAAGTGGAAAGGAAATTGCTGCCAAGCAAATTAGAGAAAGATTCTAAAATATGTTCAACAACAGTGAATTAATGGGTTATTTTGGGTAGATTATTAAAGGTTCAAAGAATAATTTCAGAATATAAAACCGGAAAAGTATGTCATGGTCAGTTAATGTAGGACCTTAAATACTATCCTAAGAGTGTTACAATTTATTCTGGAGGGAATAGAGAACAATTAAAAGTAAAGTGAAGTGATTTGCATTGCAGCAGCTATGCTTTTGGATGCAAATAACAGCCAAACACAAATTAACTTAATCAACATTAAAAGGGTTTGAATGTAAGTGGCTTGTTATGAGTTAGTAAAGATACTATGGTTTCAGGGTTGGCAACATCAATTGATCAGTCATTTTATTAAAGTCCAGAACTTTCAATCCATCTGCTTCGCCATACCCATGTACTAGTGATGTCTTTCTTCATGCCTGAAAGATAGCTGCACCAGTTCAAAGCTTCAAATGCAGAACTCTAACGTCCTGTTAAAAACAGGGACATTTCCGATCTCAGATCTCTTTCAATATGTAAGTAAAACTTTTCCCAGAAGCTAAGTACCATTAGGTACAATTGGCCAGGAATGGGTCACAGGCCCTGATAAAAGAAATTACTGTCCAGGGAAATAAAATAAACATGATTAAATTAGATATATGGTGATTAACCCCAAGGGTCTACAGAGAGACATTGTTTCTAGGGACAAGTGATGGTGAACACCAAAGCAACACTGGGACTTCCTCATTAGAGAGGAAAGTGATAGTTGCATGTACCCAAATGAGCATATCTGACATAGAAGTGTGACTTATGTGAGGAAGAAATGTTGGCGATAAGCTGATCAATGAAAGGCCTATTTTAAGAGTTGGAAGGAAGGCCTAAATTAGAACAGTTGGATTGCTAAAGGAAAGGAGGTTGCTTTAAAGACATTGGAAGAGTAAAGAGGGCTTGTCAAAGGCTGAGGGAGTAATTGACAATTGAATGTACAAAAGGCTTGAATGATGGTTCTAGAAGGACTGAGAAAATAGACAGATTTGTTGTAGAGATAAGGAATGCATAGAAGCAGCATATGGATATTGAAGATGCTGAGCAGTATTTGAATGTATTGATTCTAAGGGGCTATTAAGGTATTAAGGTACCCAATAAAATTTCCCTATAAATGCCTGAAAATGTAGCTCAGAAGAATATGTGGGCTATAAACACAAGTATGATAATGAAGCACATAAATGTAATTATTAAACTATGAAACTCAATGAGATCTTCAAGGAAAGAAAATTATAAAAAAAGGAGATTCAAGTAAAGAAACTGAAAAATATCTGTATTTAGGGAAAGACAAAGGAGATAACACTAAAGCATATTTAGAAATCAGTGGACATACAGTTAGAGAAAAATCTAGAATAATACCTTGTTGTAGGTATTATAAGATGCAAATACATTTATTTAAAAGGGTGAAAAATTGTAGTTAGTTAGGTATGACTTCATTCACTATTTCGGTGGAGTGCATGAAGTACTGGCCACATTATGGTAGGTTGAGAAAGGAGTGGAGTGTAAACAAGTGGGCACGTGGGAGGGATGAGTGTAGGTTATTTTATAGTCTTCAAGAAGTTTGATAATGAAAAAGAAAAAACAATGGTTGGATATACGCTTAGATGACTTTCCAGTTTGTTTACTTTTATAATCATAAAGGATCCCTGAGCATGATTATCTGATGTGCAAAAGATCTAGGAGAAAATAAAATATTAATAATAAAAATAATGTAAGACTTTAAAAGTCAAATTGTTCTCAGAGGCAGAAAAAGAAGATGAAGTCAAGAGTAAATGATGCACAGTGAAGTGATAAGCTTCATAATGGAAAGGTTTGACTTGTTGGAAGGAGGAGGCAAGTAATAGCTGATCATTTTCCAGAATGAATTAAATGGCAAACATTTAGAACATTAGAAGAGGGTAGAAAAAAATTGCAGAGAATACCCACAAACACCATGTTTCCCCTCAAAAAGTATATTTCAGTTTCTAAAAAGTATATTTTAGTTTCTCCTTCTTAAAAATGAAAATTTATAAACATTTATAGTCATACTGTGTTTTATCATTTTTGTAAATATTCTTATATATATATACACACACAGAAATGAATAAATGATAATATTTATATTATCAGATAAATGAAGAAACCTCAATCCGTCTAGTAAAACAAAGGAAAGATCATATACTTGAAGAAAGGAAGACATACAAATAGAGGGAAACATGTGAAATTAAGATTAGTATGAGTCCAGCAACGATGAGGGTTCTACCATCTACACATGGTAGATTATTATTAGTACTTGTATTCTCTTTGCCTGTCAAGCGGTCAAGCAATTTCTAAGTAGCAACCTTTTGGAAGCTTCTGGATTGGCTTGCTGCACTTACAGTTACCTCATAGGGAGACAGTGAGCCCCAGTGGAGTTAGAAAGTTTAACACTTTCACAGACAGAAAAAGCACTATCAGTGGTGTCAGCTCTTGACAATCTAGTCCCACAACACCACACAAAATGGGTGAGACAGATGATAGACAACATGAATAGTGGGATGCTCTGTCTTTAGAAAGCCAACTCTAAACTACAGCAAGCACTTTTATACACTGCAGCTGTATCCAAAAGATAGAAAGTCCTACGCTTCCTAACTGGAACCAAGAGTCAGATGAGAAGCTGCCTTTCAGCAGCCTCTTGCAATTTACCAGGTGAACGAGAAATGGCCTTGTGATAGGTCCTCACAAGACTGTCCTTCCACGTTCTAGGGAAGATCACAGTACATTTCACTAGAATTGTGTTGAGTCTTACTCACATGGCCAATGCAGATGAGATCAAGATTGCCTGGGTGCTATGGTAGACCCATATTGCATGCAAGAGTCTATTTATTTTACCCATAAATTTCTTTAAAATCTTCTTTTCTAGATTTTTCTCATTGTATCATTATCTTCAAAAAGACCTATCTCTTTAAAAAGATAGAAATTACATGATTTGTTGCTTTTACTTAACAGAGACACTGACAGACCTTCATTTTCTCATGTACAATTACTTATTAAATGCCTATGGTATGACATTTCTTATTAAAGGAATAAATGAATGTATTTCATATCTTTGTCAATGTAAAATGATCAAATCGCTGCATTAATGGCTCACATCAAAGACATTAGTCTAAATCACAAGTCATAAAATGAAAAGCCATATTAAAATAAAAAGTAAAACTGTAACAGTTGAAAATAAGAACAAAAAGAAGTGTATCCAGAAAGAGCTACTAATCAAAATTATCCACTCAGAATTTCTTGCACAGGGAAATGCAGAACAGTTTAAAATGAATGAACAGCTCAATGAGCAGGCAAATGAGAATGATTAGAAAAACACATTCTCTTACATAAAAATAGAAATATGTAAAATAAAGTATATGTGTGTTTTATACACAATTGGGTGGTTTTCTTTAATGGATTCTGGCTTTTTTGCTATTTTTTAAAGTTAGTGCTTTAAAATTAAAATTTCTAGATTGACTTATTGATCCTTCAATTGCCTTTTCTTATTTTCATTCCCAATACCATAAGACAGCAAAATACGAATGTTTCTGCCTGAATCTAGCTCCATCTCTAAAGGATAATACAGGAAAATGAAGAAAATTTGGGCACCTACTTTTATGCAGACAATTAATCTAAGTAGTTTGCAGGTATGATCTCTTTTTACTACTAACAAATTATACATGTGTTTTTTCAAAGGTAAGAAAACAGTGTTATTTGCAGCATAAGAATCTACCTCCACCTCTCTGCCCATCTTAAAGATTTTAAAGCAGACTTTACAAATTCTTCTTTTTTAGAATATATTAGAAGTTGAGTTCTGTTCCCAAGTCTCTCTGAATTGCTATCCTGGGAACAGCTCCTCTCTTCCTCCCAGTTGCATTCACTCCTTCAAGGACTTACCTCATCTCTGTGCCATATGGGGAAGCTTGTAGCTGATTCTATACAGCGGCAGATTTTGAGTTTCAATTTAATCACAAAACTCAAGAGTGCAAAAAAATGTAATTTTGTATTTTCTATAATGTAACTGATTTTCCAGCATAGGCAACCATTCCACAAGGTGAAAGGAAATTCATCTCAGTTTAAGGTTTCCCCCATTCCTGTAGGACCAGTTTTCTCCTGAAGGTTCTAGGAGTTGCCATCTGCTGTGAGTCTTAATGATACATCTGGGTATTTGATGAGATGCTTTTGCTCTTGGTGGCAATCTGCAATCTGCCAAGGAAGCCACCCAGTTATCACTTGCCTAACAATAGGGGATATTTGAGTTTGACTCTCATTAACCGAACTGTGTTGCCCTCGCTATTGCGTGTGATCGTTCTGCTGCTTTTCCCTCATGATAGAGCCGTGAGAAACTCACTGGCCATCTACGGTGTTACCTCACCACCTCCAGGCTTTCTGGGCGCCACCAGAGGAATTATTCTGCTGCCTTCTGTCTTGAGGGTTATGGGTTTGCTTTTTGATGGCCCTCAAAGCCTGTCTGATAAACACTTCCTGCAACCATTTCTATTTTAGGATCTGAGTACTTCCTTGAGATGTACCAAGAAAAGGGATTAAATGTGTGTCAGGATGCAGATCGACCCAAATCTATGTGAATTTCTCTAGTCTTCTCTCTTGCCTTTGATGATGCATGTGAAATCAGAGGTCAAGGCCCCAGCCAGTGCTGTCTTCAGCATCTTAGTCCTTTTTTCTTCCTCTCTGACCCTCTAATACTCCCTCATAGTGTAAGGTTAGGAGTGAGAAACCTTGCTCATACCTCACTTGATTTCTCCTAAATCTATTATTTTCTGTGTAGAGATGAGATATACATGTCTTACCCAGAAATCCCATACTATCAAAGTCTAAAATCCATAAAAAACTTCTTGTTTTCCCTATTCTTCCAGAACATTCAACCTTTGAGGCAAAAAGCAAGGAAGCCTCTCATTACTGGCTGAAATAGATTAAGAAATGAGAGAGGGGTCTGGAAACAAGGTGACAGTCATGGGTAAAAGGAAATATAGTATGACTCTGTTCACATGCCATAATGCTATCTTACAGCACGGTGACAAGTTAACAGAATAAATGAAAAATAATAATTATTTTTGTTGATTCCATCTCTTTAATTTTCAAAACCATACAGACATAGATGAGTGTACCAGATTTATTAAAATGTTGCAGGTTTGACTAAAGATAAATAAAACTGTATATCCGCTAAGACATTCTATTAAGAATTCTATCTATTAGTACTGACTTTGTTAGAATGATATCTATTACGGATTATATCATTCTATTAATAGGATTTCCTATTAAGGGGAACATCCAAAAATTTAGACACTTCGATAAAGCATCTTCTTCAGTGGTCTTTCACTTTGTTTCTGTTGCATTACAAATCATTATCACATTTTTTAGGGGTCCTGAACCTATACAGGGGTATATCTGCCAAGGTCTACTTGTTAACTAAAAAGGACCAGTAATCTGGGTTGATTAGTCCAGACTAATATAAGGGACAGGTAGTTTAATGTGATGCATCGTAAAACAGCCATCTTTGTTCCTCTTTTTCTGGGGTAGTCTTTGTCTCTCCTTTTTGGGCAATCCTAGGAGGGTGTCACATGTGCCTGTTAATGGTTACTGCTCAAAACGTTACAAGGATACTGGACCTACTTCAACGTTATTATTTTATGGGTGTAAATATGTTTCTAGTCAAGGTGTGATTGTGGCAGTGGGTAAACTAAGTGAGAAGGTGAGAAAGGAGAGGGAACCTGAGGCTGATAGTCTGCTTCCCCAATATTGAGACTGAGATTAGTCTGTGTTAGGAGATATAAGAGAGTCTATAGTTACAACATTGTCGACACTTGCAAAAATAACTTGAAAATGTGAAAACTTAAATGTAGTGTCATTCAAACAGGCCCGTACCGTTTAGAATTAGCAGAGAAATTAGGTAAAAGATACTTGCTCTTTTTAACCACTTGCCTATATTTATTAATGCAACAAACAGTTATCAATTATATTTAATGTTTTAGGCAGTTTTCTCAGAGCTGGGATACGGTGGTAATCAAAACAGGCCACTGTCGCCCTCAATTTTCAACCTTTCACATCTGCTAAGTCTGCTTATTCCTATGAATCTGCCATTTGTATGGTAAGTTTCAGCATGTAACAAACCTGTGTGTGTACACCTTGAATATAAAATCAAAGTTGAAATTACTAAAATATATAATAAAGTTCCAGCAATATCAAATGGCAGCCCTTTTACTCTATGTTTGCCTTTTACTTTTACTTCTACTTAAAATGTCATCTCCTAACACACAGACACACAACACACCAGTCACCCACAATACCCAGTGTTCAATAAAATTTTGGTTAGATTAGGTTCTCATGCATTTTGTAAAAAAGGTAATTTTAATTATAGCAAAAATTGTTTTTTTTTTTACATTTCATTGTTTGATGAACACCAAAGTCTAGGCTTTAAAATTAATGAACTTTTTTTAGTTGGCTCAGGTTGAAGATTCAAAGGATATTAATAACTGAACAAAATCTAATATTAGTATATTGTAATTAACAAAAAACAAATGTTTCTAAACCTTACCTAAAGTTGTCAAATTATGTGGAACTTTATGTTATATAGGAAACCAATGGAACATAAGTGGATGTTTGACATAGATTTGTATTTGAACTTCAGCTTTAGCACTTTGGGGAAACTGAGAATCATTTAGTGAACATGGAGAGAGATATAATAGAGTAAGCCAAGGTAAGCTAACGTCATGAAAACTTCCCTGAGTTGGAGAATATCTTCTCGAATATGGCAGAATGTGTTCACTAGATTTAATACATTTTTGACTCTGTGGTTTTACCACATCACACAAAAAATCAAATACTTGTTCTAATATTTGGTATTCTATTTGATTAGTTTCAGAGAAAATGAACAAGGGTGCCTGAAGGACATAGCCTGTATATTTCATGATGTCATCACAGCCAAATTAAATAAAGAAATATTCCTGCACATTTACCATGACTATAATTTTATTATCAACATTTATTATTGTCATTAGCTAAATTAAAATACCAGACATTCTATTCTTTCTTAATCTGAATCTACTCTAAATAAAAGCAGTGAATTTTATGAAAGCTCACATGTGACAAAGAGTTGTTTTTTTCTCATGAGAATTCTATCTCTGCTTTTCAGTCTCCCAAGACTTGAATAATTAGTATAAATAGATAGCTTGCATATTGAGGAGATTTGGAACCAAATATTTTCTGAAGTTTTTTGTTACTGTCGATAAGAGGAAAAAGTACATTTCTTTAATGAGACATTTAAATTTCTCTTTTTGAAAAGGCAGATACAGTAATGTGTGCTGTGCTTATAAAGGCAAAGGTACATTATTTTAGGAAATACAAAAACAAAGATTATTTACATTTTACTTATTTTTGTTTAAAAATTAAAAGAACATTTTTATATAAGATGGCCAAGTTGAAAGCTGAGGTTATAGAATGTATTATGTTGACTATGTTGCTAGTTAAGCAAAAGGAATTGTTTTCAAAATTCATGTGAAGACTTGACAGTGGCGTGGACATACATGCTAAAATATTTCTTTTTTGTTTCTTTGTTTTTTTTTCTTTTTCTTTATCTTTCTTCACCAATTCTCATACTCTCCTTCCTGTCCATTCTATTGTTTTATCCTTATCTATCTCTGTTTTTTTATTGCTTTTCACCTCTATATTCAAAAGCATTTTAAATAACAGTCAACATAATTATACCTAAACCAGCCCTACTCTCAGTGTAAAGAGAAAATCTTACAAACAATAAATCTAAACGTAACAATCAGTCTATGTTATGAACTCATCTGCGGTATGACACAACATAAGGTAAGTAATGGATAGGTATCAATCTTAATAGAGAAGCACATACTCCTCCTTTTCAGATTCTGGTGGTGAAATCCATAGTCGCAATACTTGCATCACATGAAATCCTGCCTCTCCCAGTGCCTAAATAGGACATAGGACAGAAACCTTCATGACAGTTCTTGCTGCCATGGCCCCCTTTCCTGGCTCCACTGGATTATATTTTAACTTATTTATTTATTTGTTTATGTTCAAACAGGGTCTCACTCTGTTGCCCAGGCTGCAGTGCAGTGGCATTATCTCAGCTCACTGCAGCCTCGACCTCCAAGGCTCAAGCAATCCTCCAGCCTCAGCCTCCAGAATAGCTAGAACTACAGGCATGTGCCACCACACTTGGCTAGTTTTTGTATTTTTTGTAGAGATGAGGTTTCACCATGTTGCCCAGGCTGGTCTCAATTTCCTGGGTTCTATTGATCCTCCCAACTTGACCTCCCAAACTGCTGTGATTACAGGTCTGAGCCACCATGTCTGGCCCTAGATTATGTTTTACTTTCATCACAGTCCTCTTTTCCACACATACGTCTTACTTCTCAATAGGTGGCATTAAATTCATACCATTTTAGAAAAGAAATTAATTCTGATTGACCCTGAAGTCTAGGATCTCTCATCTGAGTCGTAGTATGTAGCCAAATTGCTCTAGTTCATTTTTAATACTTTCTTTCCTATCATACAGTAAACTCCTTTAAAAGGCAATCTGACAGTGACTAAAGGTCACTTAAGAAGCGTTAAGAATTTAAAAGTGAGTCAGATTATAGGGGGAAATAGGTCAAACAATAAATATATGTCGTTATATTGTGGTATTTCAAGAGGCTCTCCAAATCTTATTTAAAGTCTCTCCATTTTAATGTGTCCAAGAAAATAAAAGCATAAAAGAAAATCTACTTTTTCATCCTTTGGCCTATTAGAAGCAAGGAGACTGAAAGAACAAAGATAAGAACAAAAGAAAATAATCTCAGCATAGTCATAGAGCAATGACAAATTCCTCTTAAATCACAGAAGACAAGAAAATTTAAAAGATTGATAACTCTCAATGTAGTATAAATCATATTTTCTATCTATCAACCTGGACCTATCTATCTATATTGTTAGTGGAGGAAGTATTATTTTTTTGACAAGCTGTTGCTCTTAGCAACAAGTCATCCTGATATTTTCTTTGATTATAACTAAAGAGCAATATCCATTCTTGTTACATGGGTGTAAAGTATAATTTAAAGCTCATTAAAAGTGTAGCAGGTGTTCATGTATAAAGTGCAAAAAAATAGAGGAAAGAATTTCTCTATGGCTGAGCTGTCAGTGCTCTAAAAGCCTAATTTATTTTGCATAACCTTTTAGCAAATAGACATGATTATAATAGAGAGAAGAGAAATGGAAACAATATATGCAGGAAAGTAAAGGGACTTAGCCTTTTGATTTGACCTTGATTCCAACCCTTAGAAAATATTACAGTCTTTTAACAATTGCAGCTTTGACATATAACACACTTTTCTTCCCAGGAGATAGAAGTTTTTCAGACTTTTTCTTAGCATAAAAGCTGCTCTAAAGTAGAAAATGAGTAGGTGCATAAACTGAAACAGAGTCAGTTTATATTCATTGCAAAGCAGGGAAAGGAATGAATGTTCAATCATCCAGCCCTTTCATGGGTTCGTTTTTCATGTGGAAAGCTCCTACTGTGCAGATAGGAAATTCAAACTTGAATTTAAAAGTGAGTATAAGTCTTGCAATTGGAAATGTTTCTCAATACCTTCAATTGCAGGCCCAAATGAGACAAATGGTATAAAAAAGACTTAAGTCCATAAGATCCAGAGTCAGAACTGAGACTAGAAATTGTAATCATTAACACAGTGACACTATTGAGCTGTGGACTTGCCTCACTCTTTTGACAGGTGACTCTCATGAAAGCCAAGCATTTTTTGGAGTTCACTTGATTTTGAGTAGTTCAAGTTATTAGTATTTTCTGCTTTTAGAAAATAGAAAGAACTATATATTTTTTAAGATGAAAAGTCATATAAAGGGAAAGTTGTGGTATTTGAGAAAGAATGGTGAGAAATAAAACCTTTACAACTTAATTATTTAAAAGTCGATATCATTTTCTGAGATGTGATGCTATTATTAAAAATTAGCTTTTGAAACAGAAAAGGCACACATTCATAGCAATAAAAACAAATATATTAAAGTAAAATTCCATGTAATCTTAACAAAACCCAAATTTGATTGAGGGAAGAATGGAGGTAGATATGTTCTAAAAGAACTCATTTAATACATGAGGGTGAAAAGGATGGCCAAGAATACTGTTTACTCTTATTTTGTATATAACAAATATGCACTTAAACATAATTGTTCACATTAAGGAAGAAATAGTAACAGACAATTGTTTCCTTCTTTCCACTAATGTTATTGTGCGGAAACTGGCGTATTGAAGAGTGTGAAGCGGCTATGATGTCTGCCTGCATCTAACAGGTTCTAGTAGAAGTTCCAAAAATATATATATTTTGGCTTGAAAAGAGGTTTTTACTTTTAAAAACTAATAATTTATATAAAAATAGATATTCCCAAATACCATTCAACAATTAGATTGGGTAGCACTACAACTATAGACCTCAGTTGGTTGTATGCAAAAATTCATCAGAATTGAGAAATAATTTTCCCTGTCCTTCAAACCCAATAGTAATGACTGATGCCTTTTCAGGTTGGCAGAGTTCCCTTTGTACAGTGCTACCAGTTATCTTCAGACAGCTTCATGCTTTTATTTTTCTTGCCTATCCTTGGTGGATGTGTGAATTTGTCACTTATAACAAAGCATACATGGTTTTATTTATTCGTAATAAAATAACAATCTGTGTCATTCATGCTTTCCAATTTTCTGCACATAGGAGTTACTAAGTAAATATTTGTAGATTGCATGGAACTTTTTAGTCGTGACGACTTGAGATAATATTCCAAATACAGTTCCATCCTGGAGCATCTAGCTTGGAAATTTTTAAAGGTGATATAGTTTCGTGTTCTGCCAAGATAAAATTTAAGATTCTTTGATTCTAGGTAATGTGCACTTCTGGAGCAATTCTTATATTTCATTCTAAGGGAATTTAAACCCTTCTTCCATCATGGATTAAACACATCATTACTTAAAATTATACACCATAAAATTAACTTTCTGCAGCAGATAATTATTAGTCTGTATTTACCAGAAGATAATCTAGCATGAAGGTTCTGCTCTGTTTTGAAAACCTGATGTCAAGAATACCCACTTCTGTCCACTTTGTATTTGTATTAGAAATCATTCCTTTACTTTCTACAGCATACACCACTATGATCACATTATTGCCTTCTTTCCCCAGGGTCCTCTGTAAATATTAGTGTGGCTCCGTGGTGGTGCTGAGGTCTGCATTGTGACTATTCCAGTGAAGGAAAAAGGCTCCTCTAAAAATAATCTGCAAAATGGTAGTGTGGATTTGGAGACTGAAAGTTCTCGGAGAGGATTAATAGTTCCAATCACTCTATAATGATGTTGAGAATCAGGCTTTCAAAAATGTCAAAAGTTTATTGAAAATCTTTATCATAATTGAATAGGGTAGTAATAGTTCATTATGACATATTTTGGGCTGTCAGAATTGTATTTGTCTTGAGGGCCATCTCTTTCATTTGCTTTAAGACAAAAGAATCATTTATCATACAAAGTACTAGTAAGTAGGCTAACTTACATAAAATACTTCAATATGTCCTCAAACTACCATTATAAGTAAAGGGTCTCCTTAAATTTTTATGATGGAGGAATATTTAATTATTTACCAGTAATGATTTGAACTGAATATACTCTACATTCTGTTACCTAGTTTCTAAAAATACCTTCTCTCCCAGTCTACAAGTAGTACATGCTCATTAAATGAATTTTCAAAATACAGGATGATAATGTCTATATCTCTAAAGATATGGTTTAGGGACCAGGATATTATAGCAATATACAAATTCCAGGGTTTTAGTAGGCAAAATACTCTCTGAAGAAAAGTACAAGTAATCTCTATTGATTCCAGCATTTATATATTTTACAAAAGAGAAATAAAAAAATAAAAAGAGGTAAATAAAAGAACCTCAAACCTATATAAAAAGAAAATATACATTGTTGCTGTTATCAAAAATTGTATAACAAGACAATAGTGGATCCAGATCATGACTTTCAACAGTGCTATAGTCTGAACATTTGTGTCCTCTCAAAATTTGCATATTGAAACCCTCGAGGTGACAGTATTAAGAGGCCATGTCTTTGGCAGATGATTATATCATGAGGTATTCACCCTTATGTATGGGATTAGTTCCCTTTAAAACAAACTCCTGAGAGCTGTGTTACCCCTTCTTCCTGTGGGCATACAGTGAGAAGGCACTGGCTAAGAGGAACAAACCATCATCAGACACCAAACCTACTGGAGCCCTAATCTTGGACCTCCCAGCCTTCAAAACTGTGATAAATAAATTTCTGCTATTTATATCATCTACAGTCTGTGGTATTTTGTTACAGCAGCCTGAACTGACGAAGACAAATAGGTCACAAAACCATTAGGCAAAATTTTGATTGTGAACTTTGTAATGAAGAATCAGACTGATATCAGATGAAACTGTGATTAAATCTAATACCACAAGAAAATATTATTTTACCAGTGGGAAACCTGAGGAGAGGATGCCCGCCTGTACTGCTAAAATCAATGTAAGAACAATGGATGATAAAATCAAAAGGAAGTGATTTTCTTCCCGGATGGTAGCTCAGGATTCTGCAAACTGCACGGGGAAGTCCAGTGACATGAAACATAGACTAGCAATGGCTGAAGAACATATTATTTGATGGGCCAGAATTCAACCTTATGTGACCCAAGAATATAAAATGTTTGAAAGGAAAAAGCCAAGACATCCTGGGCTCTGTGCCTAGTCCGGTCAGGAGAGGAGGCGAGCTTAGTTGCTCACAAGTGTTTAGGGAGCCCAGGGTTCAATCAAAACTGGTAAAATCCCCTCCCCCCCCTGTTTTATATAATGAAAGTTCAATTCACACTTAATCTATTTGTTGAAATTAATTATTGATTTCTTAAAAAAACCATTTACAATGATTTTACCTAATGTTCACATGTTTGCCTAATTTACCTAAATGGGAAGAAAAAACATTGTGAGGAAGGGAGGGAGGGCAGTCTTCTTTCCCAAATGAATATTTTATTTATTGAAGGGAAGAAATATACGTAGAACTATAGAAACAGAAGCTTACAGTGCAGAAGAAGCAGCTAATTCATTGGCTTCTGGTGTGTGTTTTTGTATAATTATCTTTTCAACTCTCTCTGTTTCTTAAAACATTATCTCCAATCCCTGCCATACCTTATTCTGTTTAATTTCCAATTTATTCTCTATTATGTTCAGCACATAAAATTACAATTTGCTTTTTCTCTTTTATATTCAAAACTAAAAGGTTTTAGTTCATAATCTCCTTCTGATTAAAATTCTTTCTCTAAATTAGTTTCATTGGTGTTTGCTGCAGCATACAGACAGCAGTCACTCCATATCATTTATCCTCCAGATAGAGAATTTTAACTGCAAATTGGGGTTTTCTTACTTTTCTCTGTGAGCAAGCTGTCACTTTCATGAAACACTTCAAATTGTGCAATAGCCCTTCTTGTCCTGACTTCTCCCAGATTTGTCTTTAATTCCTTATTCTGAACTCCATCCTTCCTCATCTGAGACACCCTTGTAAAACAAAAAATTCCTAATCTGGAGATTACCCAAACCTTTTTCCCTATGTAGCAAGTGTATGGAGTAATTGCTTAACTCTTATCTACTGCCCCATGGAGTTTTAGGTATAACATTACTACCAGTGATGGAAATGCTGTATGTGGAACATCTTGTAGAGAAAGCCACTCCTAATTTATCCTTGTAGCAACTTCATGAATCAGACTCTATACTTAACCTAATTTTATCGACAAGAAAACTAGAATTTGCTGTAGTTTGGTAAATTGCTCAAGACTGCACAGTAAATAAATAGGGTAAATCAGGATTTGATCCCAGGTCACCCTGGTCCTACTCTCCCATGTACTGAGATTTCCCCTATCACCCTCCACACTCCTTACATAGGCTATCTAGGACTGGTTGTTTATTCTAAACACTACGGCTAGCATTATGTATTCTCAAAGCTAATTATTCTAAAAACTCTGGATGCAGGTAAACAGTGCTAGACCTGGAAACACACAGAGAGTCCAGATTTCATTTCTATTTTAGGAAGCCATCTGGGCTTGGCTGGCCTTACATGCTCTCACACCCATTCTCGGTTTCCAGGCCTGATATGATACTCTCCATGGGAAGATATCACGCTGATACCCGAGACCAATAGATTAGGAGCTCAGTACATAAATGAGAATGCCCAGAAAGAATGAAGCTAAAGCAATCAGAGCAGGTTTACTCTGCTTTCTCTACAACCAGCTGAGAAAAGTGAACTTTAGCACTGATGTTTGTAGTTATTCTATTCATACCATTTCCAAACAATCTTCTTCTAACATAAATAGCACTACTGTTCTTTCCCAATTACCTCTGGCCACCTTTACTAAATGACCTTTAATGGTATATCCTTGAAAATTAAGGCTTTAACCACCACATAAGCCAGAAAAAGTACATTATTCTAATTGCAGGTAATTTCTTGAGCACGATGAACTGTATAACTATGCATTCTAACTTATGCTATGACCCTGCCATTGCATTTTCTCAGTCTTTTTCTGCTTGACACAAAAATACCTGGAAAGGAAAAAAATAAAATTACAAGAGTATAAAAAGAGAGAAAAATCAGTAAACATAATTTTAACATGACTATATAGGCCAGTGTATATCCACATTTTTATTTTGAAAAGACTTCTATAAATGATTCTCATGTTAATGAATGCACAATATCCCATTAAGAATAAATATTACAGTTTACACCACTCTTTTCTTATTGCTTGATATTTAGGTATAATTAATTTGTCCTTTTATTGCTATATATTTATGTAATGAATAGCTCTTAGTTATAAGACCATTTCTGTGTGTAGGTTTAGGATCAGGTTTCTAATAAAAAGTAACTAGGTCAATTAATATAAATATTTTTAAAGACATCACATACTCAAAAATTCTTGATGCTAAAGATGTGTTATTTTTCTGTAGTCAAAAAACATATACTCAATGATTCAGGTTATTCAAAAAAAGTCAAAAGTACGGACATTTGAACAGTCTAAAAATGTAATATTATTGAAAATAGTGATTAAAATATTATATGTACATTTTTGTAGGACAACAGTTTGGCAGACATGTTAAGCACACCAGGTTCTCAGAAAGAACTGGGTTCACATTTGCCATCTACATTTATTTTCATATTTACTTAAGTTATTTAGTGTCTGTATTTTTCTAATACCTGAAATTTGAAATAATAGCAGTTCTACATTATAGTTGTATTTTAAGTAGCACATGGTATAATAATTTAAAGGGCATAGTTAAATGTTGGGTGCATAGTGAGCCATCATTAAATGTAAGTAAGTTTTAATTTAGCAGAGGCCTTGTGGCGCAATGCTGAGGAATACGTGCTCTGGAGGGAGGCTGCCTGAATTTGAACTTCAGTTGTTTGAACTCTCTATACCTCTGTTTCTTCAGAAGTAAAAATGGAAATAAACACAGCACTTATCTCGGTTATTATCTGTATTACATGAGTTCAAAAATATACAGAATAGGGTCTGGCTCAGAGTAAACATCGAAGAATATTATTTGTATTACTGGAAATTACCAGTAGGCTAATTTTCTACTCTGTTTTTAATTATCAGCTATCTTCATTACCAAAAGATAGATTGCTTAGTAGTTTTCACAGATAAAACAATTGAGCAATTTAATCTCCAAATAACTATTAATTTGTTGCTACAAAATACCGAGTCTCAACAGTATCCAACATCCATAACTGCGGTACCCGGGTAAAACAAAGCTGCCACTGTGCAACACAGTGGTCTGTACACATTCTGCTGTCAGGCAAGAATTGCTGAATATAACTTTAGAGCTCTATTCTTAAAATAAAATGTTAAATAAAAACTTTCATTTAAGAGCCTTAAAAAAGACAGTTTTTTTTTGTAATAGAATATTTCCAAGGTTAACTGTAAGTAGCTAAATTTTTTTCATGATAAATTTAGATTTTTACCACCACCCCCTTTTCCCCATTCAAATGTGTTCTCAAGGTTAAAATGGCTGTGATTTTCAGGTTTGTGTAGATTTAAATTAATGTACAATTTATACAACGACACACATATGTGTATATATATATATTCATTTTTTTTTAATTTATTTATAAATGTAAAATGACGTTACTATTTCGTCAAAAAGTTTTCAGGCATTAGGAAAAAGTTAGGATACTTATATGAATATCATTTATTATTTATTTTGGAATAACAGAACTTCTCCAGTGAAACTAACTAAAAAGATCATGAGTTTGGTTATTGTAAATATCTTTATTACAGAAGTTAAAAAAAGTCATTGATTTTTATGCAGAGTTATTGTTATTACTAAGTCAAAAAAATTTCAATTTCACATCTTTAAATACATTTTTACAATAAATTATTAAGGTTTAGAATATGAAAAGCAAATTACAAGCAATAAATCATGCTGAAATAGACTATGTTTCCAATTAAATAAATCATTTAGATAGGCTCTTCTTTCTAAGAACCGTAAGTTTGGGTTTTAAATATTTCTAAAACATTGATTCATATATTTTTAAGAGTTATAATTTTTCCCACACTCCTCACCTGCGAAAATAAACTTCATAGGTATTTTCCTAATGCAAGTTTTCAATTCGACCCAACTCCTAACTTGCCAGTAGGGAAGTTCAATTTCCTTTGTGTTTTAAGATTTTTTTCCATCTCAGGATCATACAGCAATTAGAAGAGTTTATATAGGCAATAGACCTCAACCCTGTTCCTCTGTGGTTAAGTCATAATTGTTGCTCCTCTTCCTCAGGCTGAGCCTAGTGGAGTCCTTTTCCTCCAGGGGCCACACAGATGGTCCGGATGGGCTCAGAGATGGCCCTCACAGCAGCCGAGCTGGCCATGCAGAATGGAAAATGCTGCAGATCCTCATTCATGCGTCTGGCTCTCACGTGTACATTCTACAGCCACATAACCAAATCAGGACAAGAAGAATAAAGGCCTACTACCCTCAAACAAATAAGGCAACAAACAAGGAAAACAATCATAATAGCTTTTCCCTTGTCAGCCTGAGTCAACTCTCCCTGTCATTTTGAATTGGCTTCTACAACCTTCTCCGCTTAACCCTTAACAAGGCTCTCTACCCTTTCTCTCCACAGTGCCTTTATCTCTTAAAACAAGCAGAGGACTTAGTGGGATGTATCTTAGGAGGTACCTTTCAACATCTCATATTTTTTTTTGCCCTGAAATATGATAGGTGTTAAAAACTGCCTGAAGAATGTGAGCTCCAACCAGAACTGTAGATATTGTGGCAGTGAACTCTTCATTTCACAAGTCTCCTACGACAGCAAGTATGCAATAAAAATAGCTAATAATTCCATACATTATCCTTCCATCTAACTTTTATTTGTTCCACAAAAAGTTGTACTTTAAAAAAAAGAAATGTAGTAAACAGTACAGATAATGCTAAGAAGGTTCCAATACAATGAACAGAAGTGAAAATATAGTCTCTGGAATGATTTATAAGGACAATTTTCTAATCAACATTACTCCGAACAAAAAGATGGCAACTTAGAGATGAAAGAAAGAGCTTTCTGCTCAAAAGTATTTTTTTAATCCAGTTCCTGATGCTTGAACTTCTTTTACTTCTTGAAATTGTTTAATCAAGGGATATGATACAACCATTAACATCCATAGCTTTATGACTACAGATGAAATAGGTGAAACTTTTTGGCCAGTAAATAACAGTTGTAAACATTCCTTATCCCCTCTTTCTTGAAAAGAGTATTCTCATATTCTAATAGTGGGTTGGAGGAATAACTAGAGAAAAAATTAAAATGAATGTAGAAACAATGTGTTTGAAAGCAGAGAGGTAAAAGAAGAAGAAAACCAAATCAAAATAAAATAAACACCAAATAGACACAGTAAAACAAGCATCTTTTTTTCCTCTGGGACCAGATTGGGCAATTCTCCATGTAAAAGCAAATACTTGTATAAGTAGACCATTTGCATTCCAACCATTCCAATTTCAGTGTATTGCTAGTCACATGCTCAAAAAGCCTCAGAGTGACTATATAGTCATTTTCTTACAATTCTTGTTCATCTTCTAAAAAATGAAGACTGTAACGCTCATAAATCCCTTTGGGATCTGCAGATGAAAGCACTATGTAGCTGTTAAGTAGTAATAATATCTATTAGCAGAGGATCATTTACATAGCATAGAATCATTTACATCAAACACTCTGAATTTTTTTTAATGCTCAACTGCTCAAAATGAATATAATAAGAAAAAATAGAAACCTCCAGTACAAATGGTAGTTTTCATAATTTTGTATTTGAATGCTGGATACATTGTCAAAAAAAAACAAATGTACCAACCATACTTCTCTTCCAAAGGTTTATTATGGAATGTGAGCTGCCTTAGAATTTATGAAAACTGTACCTTACTTTTTGGAGGTTTATATATATATTATTTTTGTGTTTTCCTAACAATAGGTCAATATCCAAATTGAATTCAAAATATCTTTAATAAACTCTTATTTATTCATTTCATTCAGTATTGTAGAATTAGATGTCCTGTTTTGTTCTGAAAATGGCATACTTATTTTAAAACTGAAACAATGGTTTTAATTGCCAATATTATTTCTTAATCCCAAGAAAATTACTAAATAAGTTTCTGCTGAATACACTGATGAGGAAATAAGATTCAGATTAGTTTATGCCTTAGTCATCTTAGTTACTAGATTTATAATTCCTTAATTTTTCCACTGGAGTTTTGACTCAGTTTTAAGTGAGAGGTCTGCCACTTTTCAGCAACATCAGCTGAAAAGTGGCTCATGCCTGTATTCCCAGCAATTTGGGAGGCTGACGCGGGTGGATCACCAGGTAGGAGATCGAGACCGCCCTGGCTAACATGGTAAACCCCCGTCTCTACTGAAAATACAAAAACAAAATTAGCCAGGCATGGTGGCGGGTGCCTGTAGTCCCAGCTACTCGGGAGGCTGAGGCAGGAGAAAGGCATGAACCCGGGAGGAGGGGCTTGCAGTGAGCTGAGATTGTGCCACTGCACTCCAGCCTGGGTGACAGAGTGAGACCCCATCTCAAAAAAAAAAAAAGAGAGAGAGAAACCCCTGAGAATCCCAGGCTGCAACATGACAAGAAGTTGTGAGAAAATAAAAGATTCCTGGGCTATTAAATGAAGGATAATAACTTTCTGCCAACCGTACTCAGCACACTTAAATAATAAGCGTAAGGTCAATTCTAAGAGTAAGGATAAGACTAATAGTCATATATTAAATTATAAAGCTTATAAATAATAACATTGTTTTGCCCAATCAAAAAGTACATCAAGACAATCTCCAGAATGAAATATCTAACAATCAGCAATTTCTTTGTATTTCAAAGATCTACATTTAAGCTCCTTTTCTCCATGTGATCCTGCCTTTAAGGTTAAGCATGAGGTAGTTATATTTTTATTGATGAATTCAAGAAAACTATCCATTCCCATTCGCTAAATATTACCCTCTTTTTGAAAACTGGCTAGAATGTAAAATGGGCAAAAGCCTTAATGGCCACAGAACTCTGACACTGAGCCTGACACTCCTGGTCCATATTTCATCAGTGCATAGCTATCACAGACTTTCTTAGTCTTGACCACTCCATGAGCATACTGCTTTAAATTCACAAGCCCTCCTGGTTCTCGTACATAAGCCCTATATGTGGAAGTGACATCATTAACAAAAGCCTGAACTGACAACAATAAGCTCAAAAACAAATTACCTCCATGTTCCTCGGTTACATATTTATGAAATCAGTAGGTTGCACAAAGATCAGTGGTGTTCAAGTTGACTACACTTCAGTATTAGTTTAAAAGCTTCACAAAAATACCTATTTTGGGCCTTATCCATATTATCATAGTGGAAATAGTAGAAATCATAGTGGAAATCACCTGACTACAGGGCACAGGGATGTGAATTTTCTAAGAGCTACAAAGATGGCTTATGGGTCTTCTTTTAGAAACCACAAGACTAGATAGTATCTAAAGTTCATTTCATCTCAAAAACACTAAGAGTTCTTAAATACCAAAGAAATAAGATGATAGCTATACTGTCTTTATACATCTTTATATAACTTCTCACTGGTTTTTGCCAGATGACATGCCATACATGGTATTGGTTGATTTATAGTATTTTATTTAATTAATTCCACAACTCTATAGGACAGCATTGTTTCATTTGACAAATCACAATACCAAGGTCTACTTACCCATATTCACGTGGCAAAGGGTGGTACAGCCAATAAATAATCTCAAGCGTATCTGACTGTAAATACTTTGTTGTTATTACTATTATATTGCACTGTCTCTCTACTTAGTTTACTATAACACGTAATGAAAACATTCATGCCATTGGAATTGCTGAGATACCAAATGCTACTGTGTAGATTATCAAAATGTCCCTCTTAAAACGCCCAAAGAATGTTTTAGGGAAGTAAAGGGAATGATGACAAAGGAAAAAAAAAGAAGTAAAGTTATTTATTAAGACCTATAAAAACCTGTGATGATATGCGTTTCTGAAAATTCAATTTGACTCAACTATGTCAGTGCTCTATAAAACATTATTTTATGGTCAATTCACAAAATTTTAAAGATGCGAAGATAAAAATCAATGAAGTACAATTTTAAGTAAGAAGTACAATAAAATTCTGATATATTGACTAATTATTGTTTTAGTAAAAGGTAATCTGGCCTTTTTGCCAATTTTAATCACTACTAAAAGCATTTGATATGCCCCCTTTATTCCAAGATTAGTGGCCTTGGCCATTTGCATATAGGTTGATAAATTGAATTTAGCCAAAGTATTCATTAAGAAAATAGCTGTGTTTTTTTAAATACTCTCACATATACATGTATACACACACACATAATGCAGATATTTCCAAACAAGATCATATGGTGTAGTAATTTTGCTGCACTCTACTTTTTTATCTTTTTTTTATATTGGACTCTCAAGTTTCCTTATTTTATTTTACAATATTGATCATATGGAACACTGTGGTAAGTCCTAAGATTATAAGGTAAACAACGCACTATTACAGAGCATAGATTATATGAGGAGCTAGCTGCAAACAAAGGGGCAGGTAGTGACAATATTGTGTGACAGGTGCTCTATTAAAGAATGAATGCAGACTGGGCACGGTGGCTCATGCCTGTAATTCCAGCAATTTGGGAGGCAGAGGCAGGCAGATCACCTGAGGCCAGGCGTTTGAGACCAGTCTGGCCAACCTGGTGAAACTCCATCTCTACTGAAAATACAAAAATTAGCCGGGCGTGGTTGCGTGCTCCTGTAGTCCCAGCTACTTGGGAGGATGAGACAGGAGAATCACTTGAACCTGGGAGGTGTAGTGAGCTGAGATGGAGCCACTGCACTCCAGTCTGGAAGACAGAGCAAGACTCTGTCTCAAGAAAACAAACAAAAACAATGAATGCAAATAGTCACAAAAAGCGTGTAATAAAAAGTTTAACTCAATATTTTGATATTTGGCAGTTTTTAAAACACACCAGTCCTTTACCTTCTGTATCTTACTGGGCTAAGCTGATAAGAAAACTGAGATGCTCTCTACTTTGGCACCAGTGGGAGATTCAAAGCACACAAGCACCTGCCCACACAATCCATATATATACATATATATATGTGTATGTGTGTGTGTGTATATATATAGTATGTATATATGTATATATGAAAATATTTTCAATCACCCCTAAATAATAATGTGCATGAAGGCTTTACGGTAACAATTTAAGAAATTTTTAAGGCATAGACTAAAACTGTTGTTACATTCTAAGTCACAACTCTATTTTTTTTTAATGTTTGTAAAAGGTTAGAATAACCTTAACCTCTCTTACAGGATTTGAGAAGTAGGAAATGAAGTGATAGCTCTGTGTGTGTATATGTGTGTGTCTGTGTGTGTGTTTTATAAAAAAAATTAAACAAATTGATTTGTAATTGACAAATACAAATTGTATCTATTTATTGTGCAAACCGTGATTCTTTAAAATACATGTACATTGTAGATTGGCCCAACAGAGCAAATTAACATGTGCATTAGCTCACATACTTTATGTGGTGAGAACACTTGAAATATACATAGTGATTTTTTTAAGAATATGGTGCATTGATGTTAACTGTAGTCACCATGTTGCAGGATAGATCTCTTGAACATACATCCCTTCTATCTAACTGAAATTTTGTATCCTTTAACCAAAATCTCCCAATCCTCATTCCACCCCAGCCTCTGGGAAGTACCATTCCACTCTCTATTTCTGAGTTCTGTTTTTTTTAGATTCCACATGAGTGAAATTATGTGGTATTTGTCTTTCTGTGCTTGGCTTATTGTACTTAACATAATGTCCTCCTTTTTTTTTATTAAGCATAGGAAGTGCAAATGTAAACTGATTGAGTATATTTGTTCCCAACACCACGTGCACTATCTGTCCCTGAAATTAGCTCCTCAGAACCTGCACTTGCCAAGGCCACTGAAATCAACAGAATTTTAAAAGATATTATCAAAGGATACAGAGAAGACACCACTATAGGAGTAGAAAAACAACACTGGAAGACACTAGAAATGTTCAAGAAGGAGGACATATTCAATATTGGAACTAAAAATAAACTACTGTTGGCAGTGGCCAATCCATACTGGTCTGCAGCATCTTGATTCTTGCCTCCTTGAAGGAAATAATTTGTCTAAGGGAGAACTAATATCATGGCACTTTCTTTTTTGTCTGGAAATTTGTCTTAACAAAAAATAACCTAAGAATGGATATTTGAACACCCTATTTCCTACTAAGATAACTTAAAATATATAATGGGAACAAATTATGTAATATCATTGCAAGTTGGAGAATAGCTCAAAGCACCCATTTGGTACAGTGAAGACAAGCAGATTTAGAAAAATATGCTGGCCTGTTGAGTTATCTACATGAATCAACTTAAAAGGGAAAAGAGGAAAGATGTTTTCTCTCATACGCTTCTCTTCCCCTCCCATGATCCCTCCCATTGTAGATGAAGAGAAGTATAGCTTGCTCACCATTTTCAACTAACGAAACTGGGGTGGTAGGTGTGGGGGGCAGTGGTTAAGACTACCAGAATGAATGAAATATATAGACACTGATGCCTTAAACAAAAAACAAGTTATTAGCATTTTGAGAATATTGTCACAATTTATATGATCAAGAAAATCTGTAGTATCTTCTTCCAATTTTACTATGAACCTCATCCTGCAAACAGCTGAACATAAAGTTTAGTATATTTCTTAAAATGTGCCTTTCATGTGTGGGAATTTCTTTGGCTATTATTCCTATTAAAACGATTAGTAAGTTTTCAGGTCTATAAAGATGCCTATTAAGTTGATTAAAAAGCCATCATTAAATAAAACTAAAGCACATTTACATACACAAATATTCACAAAACAACAAAAAGTAACTGGACTAATCTGCTTTTTAGATGGACAATTTCTTAATAAGAGATTATTCAGTGCTCATATTGATTTATTATTGTTGAGAGTACACTGTCCAAGACATAACTTTTACTGTGTCTACAATTTACATTTGCCCATATATTTAAAAAAGCAGACGAATTTGCCTGCTTATTAAAATCGTCATTTTTGTCTCTACTGGGAAGTAAACAAAACAGTATTAAGTCCTCAGAAGAGTAAAACGTGAGGATTTTAATATTGAAGCAAACTCTTATGTATCCTTATGTAAAATAAACAATTATATAGATTATGAAATTTGTAAAATATAAAACTAGATCTCCAGAGCCATTTGGTTCTGAGTTGAAGTGTGCTTATTAATATGTCACTTATCATACTGAACCTTTCAGATTCGCTGAATAACTAGGCAAATCATTTCACTTATATAACTTGCTTTTCATTGGCTAGCAGTAGGTGCAGTGAGGTCGATGATCAAGAATGGAAATTTAGTTTTTAAACAAAAGTGAGGCATCTCTTACACCAAATTTATGAGCACTGTTACTTTGCTATTTTTATCATAGCATTTTTAAGATAGCTAAATAATACTAATAAAACTGTGTGTGAAAGCATTCCTCTATCAACTTAAATAAATATTCCTGGACATTACTAAATATTTGCTAATACTAAATACAATGAAGATCAATCTTTTAGCTATATATCAAGGAGAATCTTGGTTTTTGGTTCATTTGGAACCAAGATATAATAAATTATTTTTCCCAAAATGTTGTTTTTTCTTATTTTACCCTGAATTTTTTCTTTTATTCTTTTTCTTTTTTTTTGAGGTTTTTTTAATTATACTTTAAGTTTTAGGGTACATGTGCACAATGTGCAGGTTAGTTACATAGGTATACATGTGCCATGCTGCTGTGCTGCACCCATTAACTCGTCATTTAGCATTAGGTATATCTCCTAATGCTATCCCTTCCCCCTCCCCCCACCCCACAACAGTCCCCAGAGTGTGATGTTCCCCTTCCTGTGTCCATGTGTTCTCACTGTTCAATTCCCATCTATGAGTGAGAACATGTGGTGTTTGATTTTTTTGTCCTTGCGATAGTTTACTGAGAATGATGATTTCCAGTTTCATCCATGTCCCTACAAAGGAGATGAACTCATCATTTTTTATGGCTGCATAGTATTGGAACCAACCCAAATGTCCAACAATGATAGACTGGATTAAGAAAATGTGGCACAAATACTTTTATTCTTTTTCATAATAACTTTTTAAAATATAGGTTGAAGTTTGAACTTTTAAATATGAGATTACTCTACTATCTCAGATATATTTTTAAATTGTCATTTTTATATATTTTTATAAATTTTTATTATTTTTACATAAAAGCATAATAAAATGAAACAGCAGAAGGAAATCAGAAGAAAGAATAGAAGTGAAGAGGACTTACCTTATAAAATTTTTCATTTTCAAAAATTTCAATATTTCAAATTAAGGGATTTTATTCATGCTTAAGAAGGTCTGTAAATCATCTACTTCTCAAAAGGGAAATGTTAAGAACTGGAAATCATAGAGGGTATATGATTTAAAACTATGCTCTGGAGAAATGAAACAATTTTTTAAGTCAAATGACTTTAAAGTGGTTGTTTAAATGACATCTTCTAGAATTTTGACATATGATTTGCTAGATGTTTGTGGAAACAATGTTTATTGATTTTTATTTGGATAGCTTATCTTTGGCCTTTTTATTTCTTATTTACAGACTCATTAATAGGGTAATATCGTTCACAGCATCTTCCCTCCACTTCAGTTATAAGATTCCCTTCAGTTTATATATTTGATCTTGAGAAAAGTACATAATTAAGAAGTGATAGTTCACAGAGAATGTTTCAATATACAGTATTTTTAAATGAGGTTGTAGTACCCTAAGGGACCCATTCTAAATCTTCAAAAGTGTTTTTAATTGCTGTGTTTTAGGTAAATGTGTTTATTTATCACTTGCAGTTATGTAATAGCAAGTTATAACTGTTTCCCGCTTCACTCTTTAAAATATTAAACAATGGTAACTAAGAAGACACTTGAACATCTAAGATGATTTAGAGCACACAATATTTCATTGTAAATGTTGTCTTATACCTTTTATTCCATTAAAGGCAGGGTATCTATCTGCCATGCAGAAGAATAATTTTATATCTGACTTTTTAGATACATTTGAGGTAGTGAGGTGTGTGATGTGCAAGGGAATCATATCACAAATATAATATTTTACAGTATTGGACTGTTTTAACTCTTCATATTTGCCTAAACAGTATAATCAATTCATATATTTATCTTAAAACTTACACTCATTCAAAAAAATGTTTCATAGTCAATTCATACGTAAGTCCAAAGGTGACCTATTTATTCCATTAAACCTACTTGTCACATTGCATTTCTGATCTCGGTTATTCTACCTGAGGAACCAAAATAGAAACTCCTGATAAATGTTTGACACTTTTCTCCCCTTCAGTCTCACATCCAATTTCTTATCAAATCTTTTCTACTCCACCTGAAAGATCTATCTTCATTGTTTTCAGATTTTCTTCTGCTCTATATCATGGGCAATATTTTGAAAACAGCCATCTGGCCTCCAGTCTCTCCTCATGCTAGCCCACCATTCTGAGTCTATTACTTGTCTGTCAACACCAGATAATGCAATGCAGTTGCAAAATCCAATAATGATTCTAAATTTTCACCAAGATAAAAGTCCAACTTTAATATTACAGAAGTTAACATAATGTACCATAGCCTGCTTCCTCTGATCTCCTTACCTCTATAAATGCCACTTTCTATGTTTACATTATTTGTCTTCTCATATCACTCCATGAATGGATTGTTCCACTGACAGTTTTGCTTCAAAATTCGGGTCAGATGTTACATTCTCTAGAAAACTTCCCATCATTCTCTTATTCCATAGAGGCACAACTTTTTGTTTTTGGTTTTGGTTTTGGTTTTGTTCTGTTTCGTTTTTAGCTAGGCATATGATTGCTTGGTATAGATACTATATTTCCTACTAGACATCCTTGAAGTCACTTGTAGATCATACATGAAGTTTGAGGAAATAAAACGTAAGTTAACATGTCACATTTTTCTTTATTCATTTAAGCATTTATTAAATGTTAGACATGGTAATACAATACACATGAGGTATAAAAAGATGAATATTACAACAATTACCTTTTTATTATTGTCTAGTACACACAATCTCTTATAAATAAAAGGTGCTAAGTAAATCTTTATTGCATGAATAAATCATATGCACTTCATGGAAGCTTTGGGAAGCCTTTCTTAGAGGATGATTGATGCACGCCCCTTGTTCTCTTTCACTGAAGCTTCAGCCTTCTTGATGGCTGAAACTTCAATATGATGGTGACAACAAAAATGAAATGGTTGGTACTCTAGCAATGACCTGCAGTGAAGGGAAGCACTGTTTCCTACAATGAAGAGTTGGAATAAGCCTGGGACTCTGAGAGCCCTGTGAGCCAGAACCTACGTATTAGCACTAGACTGCCATCTCTAGACTTTTACATGTGTGAGACATAAATAAAATTCTCACATAAAATATTCATGATTTTTTGCCTCTGTTACCTGCAATACAACTTAGTATTAGGATTCCCTCCTCAATTCCAAATTGTTGCCTTTATTTACTCAGCACTCTTACTACCACCTGCACATTCACTTAATACAGTATACCACTCTGTGTTGCAATTATTTGTTTATGACTTTCTTCTACTCTATGTGCTCAAAATGTTACAAATTCAGCTGCATTTTAATAATTAATACTGTATTTACTTAATGTTTCACTAATTTAAACATATTTCCTCATTCATTTAAGCATTTATTGAATGTCAGACAGGATAATACAATATATATGAGGGAAAAAAAGATGAATATTACAAAGCTTACCTTTTTGTTATTTTCTAGCACAAACAATCCCTTATAAATAAAAGGGGCTAAGTAAATCTTTATTGCACGAATAAATCAAATGCACTTCTCAAATGATTGTGATGTTGGTTACTCCAACTTATTTATATTACAAGGCAATTTAACTTAGTAGAGCACTGAGAAAGGGCATCTTAGACAAATTACGGTGCCCTCATCTCACAGTAAACCAACTCAAAATCAAAGAAAGACAATACAGCCATTTTCAGTACTGTCCTCATACAGTTTTTTAAATATTGTGCAAATATTAGGTGAATTAAATTACAGCACTGATATGGTCTGGGTCTGTGTCTTTGCCCAAATCTCATGTAGAATTGTCATCCCCAGTGTTGGAGGTAGGGCCTGGTAGGAGGTGATTGGATCATGGAGTGGAGTTCTCCTGAATGGCTTAGTACAGGGGTCCTCAACCCCTGTGCCACAGATGGGTACCAGTCCCTTGCCTGTTAGGAACTGGGCACACAGTGGGAGATGAACTATGGGCAAGTGAGCCTTACCTCCTGAGCTCTGCCTCCTGTCAGATCAGTGGTGGCATTAGATTCTCATAGGAACGCACACCCTATTGTGAACTGTGCATGCGAGGGATGTAGGTTGTGCACTCCTTAAGAGAATCTAATGCCTGATGACCTGAGGTAGAACGGTTTCATCCTGAAACCATCCCGACCCCACCGCTCTCGTGTGGAAAAATTGTCTTCCTCAAAATTGATCCCTGGTGCCGAAACAGTTGGGATGGCTGGTTTAGTACCATGGGATTCACTCACCATAAAATGAGTGAGACCAAGTTGTTTAAAAGTGTGTGGTACCTCCCTTCTCTCTCTCTCTTCCTCCTGCTCTGGCCATGTATAATGTGCCTGATTCCCCTTCACCTTCTGCCATAATTGTAAGTCTCCTGAGGCCTCCCCTGCTCTTCTTCTTGCATAGCCTCCAGAACCATGAGCCAATTAAACCTCTTTTCTTTATAAATTACCCAATCCCGGATATTTCTTTATATAGTGTGAAAATGGAGTAATGCAAGTGACTATGATATTATAGCGAAGTAAATCAGCCTCAGAATGCATTTTAAAACTTTTTTTTTTTTTTTTTGCTTTCTAGATATCAGCCTTGAAACACACTTTGAAACTATTTGTTTATCTCTTTCCTGCCAGGAATTTGGGTGAACGGTGTTTGCTTATCTAATTATGTGCTTGTTTAGAAATCCCAGGAGTCAATTTCCAACAACCCAAGCAGAGAGATCCAGCTGCAGAATTTTCCTACTTAGGGAAAGTACAAACAATAGCCCACCAATGCTGGGCCAAAGTCAGGATGACACAAAACACACCTCCTCTGGGTGATTACTGAAGATAACTATCGGAACAGGCTCACAGACCTTCACCTCCCTGCACCACTCCCCATAGTTCCCACATCTTTTCTTTCTTAAACCCCTTCACTCAGCCCAAAACGTTGGAATTGTCTCCTAAAGGCATGAACCATGCCATTGCCCATCTGCTAGCATTTGATTAATAGAAGTGCTTTCCTTTCACCAAACCTCTGTTCTTTTGTTTTCAACCTCTGAGTGACACACAGCCAGATGCGTGCTGGTTACAATACGTTTCCAAAACATGGCAATACGTAATTTTAAAAACAAATATTTCTATGAAGTCTAAATTAGTATATCACCACTTAACTTAAATGTCAATTTTAAGAAACTAAGTGAAAAGAGTTAAGTGATAATCTGATAAGAATGTTCAAAGTATTTGCCAGGTCTATTTAAGGTAAATTTTCATTCAGTCTTTTCTATGCATGAACTTTCCCACAATACCTTCCTTTAAAAGATATCTCATAAACTACACCTTATTCATTTTTCACGATATATATATATATATATATATATATGTATATCCACATTTAAGAAAATTACATTGGTCTCCTTATTGGATTGGCAGTCATGAGAAAGCCATATTTGAGTGAAAAAATACCAAGCTGGTAGGATTTGATGGTTCTAGGCAAGACGCCTTCTTAAGTATCTGACTTAGAGCTCAGCTAACAAAATTCTATTTAACCAAAATGCCAATATAAAAAAACCAATCACTATAGAAAGTACAATTAGGTTTAATTAGTGGAATGCAAATGATGTCAATTTATAACCTTATAGTTAGGTATGAATTATATCTGTCTGTCTACCTATCTATTCATCTATCAATCTATTTATCTGGCTAGGTGAATGGGGAAAGAAGATCTAGCTAGTGTACTGGAGGAGTAATCTTTTGAGCAGCTATAAATTAGCAGCAGCATATCAGGAAACTGAATAAAAGAGTTTCATGAATGAAAAGAAAGTCAAGCATGCTTCTGAGAACAAGAAAATTCACAGCTATGCTGGGACTGAAATTAGCTTTTCTCTTTGAATTTTTTGCTATTTTGTGAAGAATATTTCGTTTAGAAAACCTGACTAAGTATTTGAAGTTATTATTAATACCATACACAGAGAATTATACACTTCACAAATAACTTTCATCTACATTATCTCATTTGATTCTCTTCACAACCTAAGCCAGTCCATTTACAAACTCGAGGTAAACACCAAGGTTAATGATTTAACCTCCATTTTACATAAGCAAATTACAAAGATTCTAAGAAATATAGATCATACACTTTATAATTATTAACTCACTAAGCATTGTTATTAAGAAAATATTATCATATTCAATTACAAATGGAGTTTAATATTGGGTGCAATTTAGGGTCACTATGAAAGATACAGTGTTTTAATGTTTTGGAGTAGTCCAAAGTGTCACAATGATTCAGATGTTTGAGAAGAGGTTTATGAGAGAAAGTCATTATTGGGGCAAACATGTAAATGAATCATCAGTGAAAATGAGTTAATGAAGTGAGAATGCTCACTTTTGACAGTGGAAAAACACAATAAAAATACACTTCCATAAAGCAGAGAGAGTGAGATAAGGAGTGGGCTGAAATGTGAGAAGAGCTGTAGGAGGGGGAATGTGGGGGATATTTTAAAAATAAAAGTTGCTTGAACTTGATGTAAAGGCAAGGAAGAGTAGAATGTGAGATGTGAAATTTTAGATACTGAAAATCTCAGTTTGTTTATCAACCAGGTATCATTCTGCCAACAGTAGAACTGTAAATCTCGAGCTTTCTTTAAAAAAATTAAAGCCTTTTATCACTTTTAAAAAGTTTATTAGAGCTGAGTGAGAATATTTATAACCAAATAGAACTGTCTCACTATTTTACCCTATTTTATTTTTTATCAAACTGACTTTTCATTAACAGCTTCCATAAACATTGATTCTTTTATAAATAAGTGACATTGTCTGTGAGGATGTAGACAGCCCCTCATCATATGTGTGTTGCTAATATTTGAGTGACCATTCTAGTTGAAATAAATAAGCTCCAAAATCACTGCTTTAAACCTTTTGAGAAATAGTTACTATGTAATGCAAAGCTCATATTTAAAGAGAATAACTGGAATTTTCCCAGAATGCAGTGTGCAAGACTTCCTCCCATCCAGTTTTGGCATGTCATGTAATGCAGGTCATAACCAATTAATTATCCAAACAGAAGGTATTTATAAGGCAGTATTTTGTGGTAACAAATTAAAGGAAAGGGCAGTTTCATCCAAAATAAAATAGGGTAGAATAGTGCTGGAGTTGAGAAGATCTGGATTTAAATATCATCCTTGTCATTTCTTTAGTTGTGTGAATTTTCTCAACTGGTTCAACCTATTTTTACCTGTATTTATAAACCATAAAATGATTTCAATGATAAATACATCATGATGCTGTTTGTGACAAATAAAAGAGGAGCCAAAACAAAGTCTGGCATATAGTAGGTTCTCAATAAATGGGAGCAATTATTCTTAGCAATAGAACCAAGAATAGAATACAATACTGTTCCCTACTGATGTTGTACTTAGGGTGTCATCTTTCTCCAAAAGAGAAAGGTGGAAAATCATCAATATTAAATGAATGAGATGATCTTTTAGGAATATGCCCAGATTTATTTTTGAGGATTAATGAGGTTATCAATATTATCTTTGCTTTCCCTTCCTGCCTTTTCCACTTGGGCTGACTTGGTTTCCCTTCTTGCTTTTTCTTCTTGGCCTTTCCCTTCTTGACTCACTTGGGCTGAAATGATTTTCTCATAATTTGAGTAGAATACCTCTTCTGGCAACTTCAAAATGAATAAAAGAATCATATTTATATTGGGGAAAAAATCCAATCATTTAGTTACTAATGGATTTCCAGTGAAACACTTGGAATAGGCAATGATCAAAACAACTTGCAGCAAAATCACATTTAATAGCATGTAGATATGAAGGAATTAAACTCCTGCCACCTAAACCCAAGAACCACTACATCTTCCTTGGTTGGTTTTATACTTAACCTATTCTTATTTGTTTAAGATTTCCAGTGATTCACTCTACTTTACTTTCCTTTGAATATATGCTGGCTTTGTTCCTTTTTGGGAACAATTTTGTAGTATAATTTCTAACTGTGGAATAAAACAAGATTGTCACACATTTCCTGATCCACCCTAAATGTATTCATAAACACACACACACACACACACACACACACACACACACACAATTCAAAAGCAAAAGCAATAATAGTGTCAAATACACCACAAAAGATTTTATTATGAAAAACATATAGGTAAAATGTAGCAACTATGTGTTTTACAAAATGTTCTATTATTGCATAAAACTGTCTTTGCTCTATCACCTTCTAAAGCTTCTTACACTCTTTCTTGGTGTTAAGTCAAACCTGCAAATGCTTTATCTGTTCTCCATATCATTAGAGCTCCATCTTCCATACATATTTTAAGATAGACCTTCCCTCCACAATTATTACCCCCACAGTCTTAATGTAACCAGTGAACATGGACAGCAGCAGTCCAATATACATTCACATTATCAAAACATGATGGAAGCTGTAGATATGCCTAAATGTCCATGTTAGTACATATTTTGTCTAGTAGAGTCCTCGATTCTTGTACATGTTTGATTTACAGAGTGCTACTTGGACCTTTATGGACAAGTAGAAATAATTGACTTAGCAAATTTGTTGTATTTTCAGGCCATTTGTTCAGAATAGGAGTCATATCTATTTAAATTACATACTTGGCATAATTTCATTGATTAAGACATATTAAAGAATAGAGGGCAAAAACTTTTTCTTCAAAAAGTCCTACCTTTAGCACTGTAAGAAGAAGTACAGGTAAAGTTTCTGTCAATAGAGACCCCCAAAATACAGTGGATTTATATGACGAAAAATGTATTATTCTCTCAAATAACAGGCTCTATTGAGTGCTTCAAGTGGCAGAGTGGTGCTGCTGTCCTTTATATATAACTTCTGAATTTGTTGCATTTATTAGCATTTCCTGGTAATGTAAGGGGTAAGGAGAGGAAATGGAGAATGAGCAATTTTCCTTCAAGCATGTAACATGTTGATAACCTATATCAATTCTGTTTATATTCCTTTGTTGACAAGATAGACACATGGCTGAATCCAGTTACATGGAAGGCAGAGAAATGTAAACAATAGCTAGATGACCATGTGTTATGTTAACATATACGACTTCTATCCCAAAAAGAGGAAGACTAAACATGATACAGATGTTATTAACTTTCTCTGAAACAATCACAACATTTAGAAACACCATTCATTTGTCTCAGAGTTTATAAAAAGTGTGTGTGTGTGTGTCTATCATAGACTTGACACTAGATTAAATAAATTAAAACATTGTTATAATTTTCATCTCTCTCATTCTACTGAATATAAGATGTCATAGGCTATATCCTTTGGAAACAGATCCTGACAAGGAGTTTTAGGGTAGAAGTAGTTTATGGAGCCTGTCCTTGCAAACAACCACAAAGTGGGGAGAGGGGAAGGTTGGAGAGAAATAGAAGTTGATTTGTGATGCACTGTAATAGACATCTCAGATCAATTCACAGGGAGCGTTGAATCTAAGATGGCCCTTCAGAGTATCTTACATGAGACAAGGGACTGCACTTTTGTACCTTCCATCAACCAAATGCTGCATGGGGGTAACCCTGCAGGAAAGGGCATTACCATAGTCAAGCCAGGTCTCCGTGGGCAAAGGTAATTTCGATAGAGGGCTCTGCTTGAAGCCATTAGCCTCTAACAACACGAAGAGATGGACAAATGGGTGTGTTTCAATGTGTATTACTCTTCTTTTGCTGTAAAACAAATCACCATGAACTTAGTGACTTAAAACAACCCACTTCTTATCTCTCAGTTCCACAGGTCAGAAGTACAGGCAGGCTTAACTGGATTCTCTGTGGAGGGTCTCACAAGACCAAAATCAAAGTCAAATGGACTGGGCTCTTGCTTGAAGCATCTGAAGAAGACTCCACTTCCAAGCACTTTCAGTGTTGGACGTATCCAATTTCTTGTGGCTATAAGATAAAGGTTTCTGTTTAGATAGGGACCATTCTCAGATCCTAAAGCATGTTCACATTCTTTGCCACTTGTCCCTCTCCATTTCAAGCCAGCAATGTTTCATCAAATCACATAGGACCTCTCTGACTTCTGGACATGCACTCAGTCAGAAAAAAAAATCTACTTTCATAGGGTTCATGTTGTTAGGTTAGGTCCACCCAGATAATTTCCAAATAGCAAGTCAACTGATTAGTAACATTAATTACATCTGCAAATTCCCTTTGCCATGTAATGTATTATATTCATGAGCACAACACCAAGATATGGAGATCATGGGCCATCTTAGAATTCTGCTTACTACAGTCCTGAAGGGATCAACTGGGCAGTTGCAGTAAAAAATTTGTCCTGACCACGTGATAAATATGTATAGCTGATAACCACCTAACTGAAATATGCTACTTGTTAAATGTGGAGATATATTGTAATATATTTTCATGTGGTAAGTCTCCCTTACTCACAAACAATTCCAATTTTTGTTAAATTTAATTGGTTGACCTTTTTTCCTTATTTATATATACTGCTTATTAAATAATAACATGTAAGTGCCCATATCATAGGTATTAAGTTCATTAAATTTTTCTCTTATTTTTAATTTGTTTTATCTTGTCTTATTTTTCAAGTTTCTTGTAAACTATTTTTATTTATTATTGGAACTAAATAAGGTATAAATATAAATCCAAACTGTATCATATCAATAAAATATATTATTCATACCAACTAATCAGATTACATATCAAGGCTGAACAGTGAGTGGGAACATTCCCTATTTATCCGATTTGTACCTAACGTTGTAAAACTCACAGATAATGTAGATGGCAAAAGTATGGGCAAAACAATATGAAAATATGATATAACATGTATGGGGACATTGTAGCTCATGAATTCACAGGAGTAGCATCCAAACCTCAACCTCCGGTCGACTGAATAAATATGTTAAAAATTACTCAAGCAGGTCTTACAAAGTTGAAATCAGTCCTGTGATCATTCTACATACATGAAAAGCAGTGAAGAAAGAAGAGCTATATGTGTGGTCCAGGGTGTACACCCAAAGGTCAGGGGTAAAAAAGATAGCCACTGGGCTACCAGACTGGTAACTGAACCCAAGAAAATGGAAGTAGTGTGTTAGAAGGGTGTAGTGAGTAATAAATTGCCAGATGGCAAGAATTGGAGCAATACAGAAAATTGTTACGTTGTGATTCTGGAACTAATTATTTATGAACAACTTGTATGTACTGTAATGCTCCCCATAAACCTATCCCATTGTAATGCAAATAGGCAGAGGCAAATGTAATCTCAGAAGAACCCAAATGACACAGCCAAAATATCTTGGAAGAGCAGCCACATTTTCTTCTTTCTTCTACAGAAATGATGTAATTTAAATAATGGTATGGATAACATTGATGTTTATATCTTTTTCCTTCCCCATGCATCTTTTTCAGGAAGTTGGAATATGCCAGTTACTTAGAGAAAGGACAAAGGAAGATGAGTTCATTAGGCTGTCTCTGAGCATATCTTTAAGAAATTTACATTTATTCAGGAAGCCAAAAATAGTGTCCAGAATCTTCTTTCCATCAAACCTTCTTTGTTTTCCAAGGGAACCATAAAGATCAATTGCACATTAATTCCTATACATCTCTCTTGTAATATTTTTATATTATAATCAAAACCACTTTGATTGTGGCTAGTATATCTGGATATGATCTGAGCACTTGGAAAGTTTGCTTTTATTGTCTTGTCATTTGAAATCATTGTATGATTGAAAAATCCATGCTTCTTTATTTTATTCCTAAGACACTCTGTAGAAATAGCAATAACTTTTTCAATCCTACAGTTACAGCATATATCCCTGGAAATACCTCCAATAACAGCTGGTGTGTGTTCATTTCTACACTTCTTCTCCCTATCTCCACTCCTACTGATATTAAATATTTGAGCAATAGTCATTGTAGAGGCCAAAGCAATCCCATCTTGGATGCTAATCTGCCCTATTGGCTTCTGATTAGCCCCTGTTCCTCTAAAATTTCCAGTTTATCTATTGCTCCTTGTCTAAGAGCAGGTATTTGCGAAAAATACTCCTCTTAGATCAAACAACCTTGATGTTATCATACTTCAATTGTCCTACAAATCCCTTCTGAATCACTCCATTTTACAAGATATATAAGCCCTGAGTCTGGGGGATATGGGCACAGGGATCTACCATCTTGTCCCACCTCTGCAAGAGACACAGATATGGCTTCTGTTTGTCTCTATTAAATGTTTGCAAAAAACCAAATTTTTCAGCTTTTTTATTCAACCTCTCAGGTTTCTCAGACTTTGGGGCATATTTGCATAGACCTAACCACTGTGAAACAGTCATACATGAATGTCAAAAGACAGAAAATGTGTGTTTCAAGACAATATATCAGAGGAACTTACAGGCAGAAGCCCAGTAAGTGCAAGTTGTCCTAAGTCTCTCATATGTCACTATCCTATGCAGATGTGTGTTTGGACTTATTATCTGGCAAAGGAATTAAATTTTCTGCCACTGTACAAATACACAGAGGGAGTGAATGTCAGCAGAGATCATCTGGCCATGTTGCAAGCCCCAGAGCTGGGCAGTAGCGGCCACAGCTTATTTTCTGACATCACTGAAGGTGTCAGGTGCATTTATGTCAACATAGATTTCAGTCTAAGTCTTTTCATCTCTACTTACCAAATCACGGCTTTGAGGGAGCATTTCAGAGCCATCCATCGAAAACACAGACTTCATTTCTTTTCTTTCTTTCTTTCTTCCTTCCTTTCTTTCTTTTTCTTTCTTTCTTTCCTTCTTTCTTTCCTTCTTTCTTTCTTTCTTTTGTTCTTTCTTTCTTTCTCACTTTCATTCTTTCTTTCCTTTTTTTGAGACAGAATCTTGCTCTGTCACTCAGGTTGGAGTGCAGCGGTGTGATCTCGGCTCACTGCAACCTCTGCCTCCCAGATTCAAGCGATTCTTATACCTTAGCTTCCCGATTAGCTGAGATCACAGTTGTGCACGACCATGCCCAGCTAAATTTCTTATTTTTAGTAGAGATTTAGTAGAGATACCCATTGCTATGTTGGCCATGCTGGTCTTGAACTCCTGGCCTCAAGTGATCTTCCCACCTCGGCCTCCCAAAATGCCAGGATTGCAGGCATGAGCCACCGTGCCTGGCTGGCTTGCTTTCTTTATAAGTGGAGAAAAATGGTTGGACACAGCTTTTCATATTATACACTGAAATGCAATGACCCTAAACTCTTCATTCTGAAATTTGGGTATGGGTAAGGTATTAGATAATCTTAAGAATTATTACTTGTCTTGCTAGCTGAGCAAATGGCATTGTTGCTATATAGAAAAATGTCCTTAGTTTTAGTGATGCATACTAAAATACTTAGAGATGAATTATCATTATGTCTGCAATTATGTTAAAATACTTCAGTAAAATGTATTTTAAGCAATGTGGCAAATGTAAATAGTTGTTTTGCTAGATGAAAGTTATACGGATGTTTGCTTTATGACTCTCTTGATTCTCTATATCCAAATATATTACAAATAGATTTTAAATTAACACTTGTGCAATCACTGTGAACCTTCATACAACTCAATCCTAGGGAGAAAAATGACTGTGGTGTCAAGAATATTCCTTACCCTTGGAGTCTTTGTACCATCTTGGTACATATTTTCCTAATGGGTAGCTTCTTGTTAATCTTTAATTATAACAAGATCAATTCTTCATTCCAAATACTTGAACGGTCTCCCCTAATCTGTCATTTTAATCTTTTTATGTCTGTCCTAAATATTCACTCACTATATACATTCATGATAACATTTGTCAATGTGTTACTGTACTTTCTGGGTTAATGAGTCAGGTGAGTTATAATAATTGTTTCTTGCTAACATATATAATTGTGTCACAGTTAGTATAGAAAATCTTGAATTTTTATTTTCTCCAGCACTGTGAAGAGAACAAAAGGAATTAGACCTTTTCTTAAATCTTAAGACCTTTATAGACTATTTGGAAAAACAAAGCAAATGAAAATAAACATGCACATAAAAACTTAGCTAATGGTGCAACATAATGTGTAACTACATCAAATGGATATTTTGTTTAAGTAACCTTTTAACTATCACATTATGAGTATTAAAATAATTACAAAAAGATAAGTATTTGGCATATATTCTTGGAATCATTTGTAATGATATTTCCCACAGTACAAGAAGGGAGAAAACTCGAGGGAATTATTCAGGGACTTTCCCGTTATTCAACTTAAGTCTAACATAAAAAAATACCATCACTATAAGAAAATACATGCACAAAAATTCATAGATTCCAGCATACTCCTTCTTTGAAGACAAATAACAATGTGCCTTGAATGGCAAAAGTCATTTTCTTTTTTTAAAATTTTTACTTTCATTGTAAGTCAAATTGAGGTAATTCACGTCAGCAGCCAGAATCAAAAGGGAGGAAAAGAAAGCCCTCATTTGAAAAAATCAATTAATATCATGAATTCTTGACAAGAAAATTGAAAAAGATACATAGTAATTCATTGTAAAATAAAGATTTCAAAACTAGAGATTCTACTTGGCCAACATTCTCTAATAATGACTCTAAATATGTAAGAATATCTTCACATCATTTTTTCTCTTTCGGCTCTTTTTATTCTCAATACAAAGTGACTTCTCTTTCTTTTTAAGATTTAGTATGTCAACCACAGCCTTCTCCATTACAGAAAGATGTCTGGTTACTTGAAAGACTTTGATACATCTGTGCTATTCCCTGTGTGCTGACATATGTCTACTTGCAACAGAAAGAAGAAACTTCAAGGATGAGCTCCACTCATTTCAGTAATTGGTATTCCAGCCTGCTAGTTCAGATAGATTATTGTTGGTGTGATAGGCAGCTAACATTAATGTCAAATTAACATAAACTATAAGGATGACAGTATGCTGGAATTTGCATAATTTTCATCAGAATCTAAAGGCTTTTGAAATTGATTCTCAAGGACTAATAAAGACATATTAGTTTACTTACTATAACATCTTTGGGATGTTATTTAAAATGTCACATTCTAATTTTAAATCAGTGATCTGCAACTTAGGATAATGGACAGTATATGAATTTTAGACACAAATTATTTATGTGAAATTATGACTCCCCAAATCATTACTCAACCTGCAGAAAGAAGAATATTTTTTATTTTACTTTTATATAATGCTACTCAAATCCAATCCCTTATTTATTTTATCCTAGGATTGTTCTATACGTTCTCAGGTGTCTTAATGTAGTCTGTTCAGTGATTCAAAGTAGAATGTAAATGGTTCTATCCCACAGTCTTCAAATAATCTGTCATATTTGTCATTTCATTCTCAGGGGAAAACTTTTTGAGAAAGTCAAAAATGTTTATAGTTTTTATTCTTTTTCTGTTCTGTTATGTTGAAACACAGAAACACATGGAGAAGACATATGGCATGTAAGCATAGAATTTGCCCATTCTTGGCCTGTTTGTTTTTAGAGTTTTTCCTCTAAACAGATTATCATTTATCAGCTGTGAAGTTGCAAAATAAAATTTTCAAAGCACAAAATCTTATTTCTCTTTATGCATCCTGCTTGGGTTCTACATTTTTTTGAGTCTTCATTCGATATCTGTTTTCCTAACCCAATCGTCAGGTTATCACACTACCTAGCACTAATTAAAGTATTAATACCACTGTACTAAACACAAAACTGAAACTCATTTTTTAGCATGACTGTTTCCTTTTTTGTCCAATTTCTTTCAGCAAATCACTGGAAGCACAATCATAGTTGCTCAAAATGGAGAGAATAATTGAATAGTCCATAGACACTGTGAGGCACCGTTAACACAATTTTTTTTTTCTTTTTGAGACAGCGTTTCACTCTTATTGCCCAGACTGGAGTGCGATGGTGCGATCTTAGCTGACTTCAACCTCTGCCTCCCCCATTCAAGCAATTCTCCTGCCTCAGCCCCCCAGGTATTGGGATTACACACATGTGCCACCAAGCCCGGCTAATTTTGTATTTTTAGTAGAGACGGGGTTTCTCCATGCTGGTCATGCTGGTCTCGAACTCCCAACCTAAGGTGATCCGCCCACCTTGGCCTCCCAAAGTGCTGGGATTACAGCCATGAGCCACCGCGCCCAGCCAACACAATATTATTAATATGTATTATAGAATGTCATCAATCAAATACATGTGACTAACTAAGCAGAGCTTTGGATTTCTCCAAACCAAAGAAGAAGGGGATAAACTAGAGATTTACCCATGTTTTAGACAAATAAACTCAATAAATAAAACCTTAATTAGTATTGAAAAGTTAAAAAACAAACATGTCTAAGTATCACATTTTTGGCAATGGTTTGTCCTTACCAATACTTATTTTTTATTGTAATGACAGGACCAGCTCAATCTAGCTTAACTTTGTGTAATAAAAAATTGAATTGTTTTCCAGTTGCCATAGAACCCAAGTTGCAATTACATAACAAGAGCATGCCCAGATGAACCAAGTGTGCAACTATGGGCAAAACCTAAATGCTTAGACCAAGGAATGGGGACTGAACTAAAAAGTAAGCCCCTCATGGCATGATCCATGGACCCATAATCCAATCAGATAGAGCCCTGGTATCACACCTCCTAGCATCATTTCATTGCAAGATCCAATCAGATCATGCCTCTTATCCCCTCTGCCTATAAAATCAGCCCCATCTACCAGCCCAAGGAGACCAATTTGAGCACTGCTACATGTCTCCTTTGCCAATTGACTTACAATAAAACTTTCTCTCTACAAACACCCAGTGCTTTGGTGTTTGGCTTTTTGTTGTGTGGGCAAATAAACCCACTTTGGTACATAACATGATTAATATTAATAGAACATAAGTATACGGGATAGCTGAGAGATAATCTTATTTAATCAGAGCATCTTTCAGGACAACCTCTCTGATTATGGAAAAAAAGGTATTGCTTTTGAGTTCTAGCCCTCTAGTGTGGTAGCTGCATAACTGCCACCCAGGTATATATATACATATACACACACATAAACACACACAAAATTTGTTTTTTTGTTCTTATGGATAGTTTGATATTAACAGATATATTCTGACATATATACATATGTGTGTGTGTGTGTATATATATATATATCCTTCATTATTTTTCCTTCACAATTAAAATTGGATAAAAGTACTTCTGATGTCTACTTTCAAGAATTATGTAGCACTTCTGGCAAGAATCATGCTCCATGTCTCATTCTGGAATCACCCACACAAACTCCATTTTGAATGAGAGAAGACATTTAATCAAATAAATGCAGTGAGGCAGTGAAAGGCATCAGATACCAGAAAGTATCAGCAAAGGTATCCTTTTTGAAGGTGAGGGGCTCACACTGAAAGGCAAAATTATTCTTCTTGCTGGAGCAATTGTGCTACACATAATGATGCAAAAGTTCAGTAATTTCAGTAACACTGATGAGCACAATTCTGTATTAAATATTAAGATTCAGAGTGATGTGGAAGGCAAGGCCAAAAAAGAACTCATGCAGACTACACAATTTAAGAGGAAGCTATAAAAAGGGACAGTAAGAATGGTAATATTATCAAATGAAAATTTAGAAAGTAGACAAGAAGGATAAAGTTTTGCTAATTTTTAGTTTATTAACAATAAGAAACTAATAGAAAATGTCTTTTAAAAAGAGTGATATGTAAAATTTTAATTAAAAAAGTTAGTAGAATAAAAATGCAAATGTTTTGTTAATATCAGAACTACCCACAGGAACAAAGAAAACAAATTGTATAGTGAGTTATTAAAAACAGGTTAACAAAAAATATAACAAAATTATGACAAAACCTTATAACAGTAATGTGTTATGAATAAACGTTAACAGAGTTAACTCATCTTTTAAAAATATCTTTACTTTGGATCTATGCTTTATAAAAGGGATGTATGTAAAAAGTGATTCATAAAGCTGAGAATTAATATGATGGGAAAATGTGCTCCTTGCAAATGAAAACAAAAAGCAGGATTGTGACCTTAATATCAAAAACTACTGCATCTGATAAAATAACACTTGCTGAGAGTGAAGTACACAATTTACATTGAAGATAAAAGTTTTGCATATCTTTGCGCAGGATAATACAACAGCAACATTAGTAAAGCAGAAATTGCAGACATACAAACATTCTAAACACAAACCAATGAGTTGAAATGCAGAATATTTTAATTCACATACAAATGTCAAAAATAGTTATTTGAAAAATGTTAACCAACCAGCAGAATCTCTACCTAACCTAATCAAAGAAAAAAGAGAAAAAAATACGGATATACATATGAAATATAAAATAATAGAGAAATTGTCATGTAAATGGAAAATTATAAGAATTAAATAAAATAGACTTGCTTTAAAATATGCAAGTAATTGTGCAAACCTGTTTAAGAAATTTTCAGAAAAATATTCAAACTGACCCCAGAAGAAGATAAAATCTGTGTATAATGATATCCATGGGAATATTGCTCCCAAACAATGAAATAACAATGAAAGTGAATGAAACAAATTGAATCAAAGCCTTAGGAGGCCTCTGAGTTTTTTAGGGGTAACTTCAGCAAATTGCTAAAAAGCAGATAATTGCAATGCTATGTAAATATCTCCAAAGTGCATAAAAAACAGTTTTCAAATTTATATTATCTATTGAGTATATATTAATACCAAGAGGTGACAATAATTTTACATAAAATAAAATCACAATATTGTTTATGCACATTGATCTAAACATCATAAATAAACATATTTTAACAACTTGTTTAAAGAAATAAATGCAACATGACTGAGTTGGATTTATTCTAGGAATTCAAGAATGTTTCAACATTATTAAATTGATTTATATAATTTATTGAACCAATATTTCTAGAAAAAATATTATAGAATTTTTATGTAATAAAAATTATTTGACTAAATCGAACAGATATTTTGAAAATGAAAATTTAAGAAAATATAAAATAGATATTTTCTTAAGATAATAAAAAAGATCTATCACAATCTCAGTTCCCCTTTTAAGAGGTTAAACTTTGTACCTGAGTTCAAATAAAAACAACTAGAAAAGGTAAGTAAATTGTTTGTATGGGGTACAGCAGGCAGAATAAAAAAAGAAAATAGGATTATCTATGTTTGCAGACAATAAGATGACGTATCTATAAAACACGCTGGAAGAAACTAAAATCAAACCCAAACAATAAGATAAATCAGTAATATTTCAAGCAACCAAACTTATAAACAGAAATAATTAGTGTTCATTATATAGTAAATTATAATTTGGAATGTCTAACTATGCAAAATAATCTATGGTAAAAACAAAAGTTAAATATACCTGGCAATTATATTAAACAGGAAATACCTAATATATATATAAAGAATAATTTAAAAAACCTCTCGTGGGAACAAATGATGCTCTTACAAATGCAAAACTATATTGTGTTATTTGATGTTATAATGATTTCAATTGTCTACAAATGAATTCATCTACAAAATATCATTTTTATAAACTAGGGGAGTTTTTTAATATAAAATCACACAAAATAATAAGCATACAAACATAAAGGAGGAAACTCTAATGAAGAAGTGCCAAGAGTGGAAACTAGGCCTACCAGATACTAAACATATTATAAAGCATCAACATTAAAGCAATGTGTTATAGAGCATACCTAGAAAGAGAGATGAATAGAACAGAAGAGAAAGTCCCAAAATAGTTTGCAAGAGTATGTGCTTTTAGTTGTTCTGGAGCCATCTCAAATCAGGGAGAAAATGTAAACTAAGAAATGATGTTCTGACAACTGCAGCCACCTAGAAGGAGGAGGAGGAACAGGAGCAGGAAGGGCAGGAGAAGGAGGAAGAAGAAGAGGAGCAGGAAGAGGAGGATGAGGACGAGGAGGAGAAAGAGGAGGAACGAAGAAAGAGAAGGAGACTCCTCATACTATACACTAAAAAGGTGCCAAGTTGATCAAATATTTAAAAGCAAAAAATAAAGCCATAAACGTACTAGAAGACATAGGGACATTTCCTAATAAGCTGAGTTTGGAAAAGGCCCATGTAAACATGATTTACAATTCAGTCCATGAAAGAAATAATTGTTAAATTGGACTACACTATACCCACACCTCAAGTTATGAGATTTCCAGGAAGAATGATGAATGTGTCAGTGGTACTTCTTTGTTGCACTTAAGGTACTACAAGAAAGAGCTGAGATGAAAAGCTATCTGGCCCAGCATTGACAAGCAAAAAGTGGAGGAAATAAAAAGGGGACAGAGCTTGACAGTTAGAAAATAAAACTATGTAATATACCTAGATTCTTAAGCCATAAAAAGATTGCCAAAGTATGTCATCAGGGTAAAGATCCAATCACATTGTCTGCTGTGACACACTTTGAAAGGCCACTGAAAAAATGAAGGCACTTTATAGGGCATATTTTCAAGTGGAAAAAAGGGATTCTAGGAATCATTGTGGTTTTGTCTTACAGTAGACTGACATGTCCATAGTAGCACTGGATTGCTTGAGTATAAAGACCTGCCTTGAATAAGAATAATGTGTGTTAGTCCTGGCAATTTTGTTAAATAAACTATTATAATCAGTAAATGTACCAGCAGCATGGCCTAAAAGTAACTGAGATTGTTTTAAATGCAAAAAGGCCATTGTGATCTCACCTTGAAATAGCATGAATTAGACTAAGAAGACAGAAGTAGTTCAAAAGACATGCATACTATTCTCGTTTCAGAAAAGTCCAAATAGAGTCAGGCATGGTGTTGTGCACCTAGTCCCAGCTATTTGGGAGGATGAGATAGGACTAGAGCTCAAGAATTCCAGGTTGCGGGGAGCTATGATTGCACCACTGTATTCTGGCCTGGTTGACAGAGTGAGACGCTGTTTCTTTAAAAACATATTTTTTTTAAAGTGGCCAAATAGAACAATAGAAAAGAAAGAACATTTTATAAAACCAAGTCAAAATGGAGAACAGCGGACTAGAGATATATTCTCAAGTTGCAGAGCTAGAACCTACCTAATTAAGGAATATAAACAATCTCAATAGCAAGTCTAGCAAACCTGAATTCAGAATTGTCAGAGATTGCTATGTGCCTCCCATTCCTCCTCTTTTCAAATGGGAGGGTCCATAGCTGTTAATCTGTGTGCCATCATTACATGCTAGGCATTTGGAAAGGGGAAACAGATAACTTTTCTTTTTTTTCTTCATAGTTTTTCAGATTAAAACAAACTGCAGCCAAGTATCAACATCCAGACCTAATATAGATTATAAGATCTATATAGATTCTGAGTGTGATGATATGATACAATGAGAATTTGGTGCTTTTGAGGGTGTATGTGGATTTGGCAGATAGGAGGGATGTAAATATTCTGCCCAAGAGGTGTTCTGTGATAGTTGATTACAAAAAGAATCACACAGAGGTGGCAGAGCAAAATGGCCGAATAGAAATCTTCACTATTTTCCTCCCCACAGGAACACCAAATTGAACAACTATCCATACAAAAAAGCACCTTCATGAGAAGCAAAAATTAGGCAAGCAATCACAGTACTTGGTTTTAGTTTCATGTTACAGAAAAAGGCACTGAAGTTGGTAGAAAAGACAGTCTTGAATGGCTGCTGCTACCTCTCTTCCATCCCCTGGAGGCCACTGCATGCCATGGTGGGAGAATCTGTGCATTTAGGGGAAGAAGAGCACAGTGATTGTGGGACTTTGCATTAGAACCCAGTGTGGTCTGTCATAGCAAAAAGCAACATGGAGCAAAACTCAGCTGGCATCCACGAAGGAGCATTTAGACCACTCCTAGCCAGAAGGGAATCACCCATCCCAGTGGTAAGAGCCTGAGTTCTGGCAAGCCTTGCCACTGTGGGCTAAAGTGCACTGAGGTCCTAAATAACTGGAAAGGCAATCTAGACCACAAGGGCTGCAATTCTTAAACAAATATTGATGTTATGCTGGGCTCAGGGCCGAGGGATTTGGTAGGAACATGATGTAGTAAGATACCTGCTGTGGCAGTCAAAGGAGTGTTTGTGTCACTGCTTCCCCAAACCTAGATCGCATAGTTCACAGCTCCAACAGAGACTCATTTTTTTACTTCAGGAGAGAAAAGTAGGAAGGACTTTGTCTTGCAAATTGGATACCAGCTCAGCAACAGTAGGGCAGGGCATTGGGCAAAGGCTTGAGGCCCATATTCCAGGCCCTAGCTCCTGGATGACATCTTTAGACCCACCCTGGGCCATAAGGGAACCTGCTGCCTTGAAGAGAAGAACCCAGTCCTACCAGGATGTATTACTTGTGACTAAAAAGCCCTTGGGCTCTGAAAAGTCAGCAGCAATATCCAGGTAGTATTTGCCATAGGCCTTAGATGAGACTCAGAGATGCTCTGGCTTCAAGTGTGACCCAGCATATTCTCAACTGTGGTGGTTACAGAGAAGAACTACCTCTGTTTGAGGAATAGAGAGGAAAGAGTAAGGGGAATTAGTCCTGCAGCTTAGGTATGAGCTCAACCACAGTGGTTGCAGAACCAAGTGTGCCCATGGGGCTGAAAATTCCAGGCCTGGGCTCTTGGATGGCATTTATGGACCTGCCCTGAACCAGAAAGGAGCCCATAACCCTAGAAGGAGAATCTCAGTTCTGGCAGCATTCACCACAAGCTGACTGAAGAGCCTTTGGGCCTTGACTGAACATTGGCATAGCCAGAGCCAGGCAGTATTCACTGTGGGTCTGGGGTAGTGGCCATGGGGAATCACTCTTCTGCTTGTGGAAATGAGAGAGATGAGAAGGAAGGATGTTGTCTTGTGGCTTGGGGGCCATAAGTAGAATAGTATATAATAGAAGTCTGCAGTAGAATAGAATGCCATTTCCTAAGGTTTCTGACTCTAGGACTTGGCTCCTGGATGGCATCTCTGGATCTGCCTGGGGCTGAGGGAAACTTGCCAATCCAAAGGGAAGGACACAAGCCTGGTTGGCTTTCCCATCTGCTGATTAGAGAGCTCTAATGTTTGAGTGAACATAGACAGCGGTCAGTTACTGATTACCATGGGCCTTGGGCAAGACCTGCTACCATGCTGGGTTCAAGTCTGACACAGGGAAGTACTATTGGTGGTGGCCACATGAGTACTTGTGTCACTCCTCCAGCAGCTTCATGCAGCTACACACACATGCTCCATTCATTTGGGAGAAAATAAGGGAAGAAAACAAAAGTCTTCCTGATAATCCAGAGAATTTTTTTCAGATCTTATCTAAGACCTCCAAGGTGGTATTTCTACAAGTCTGCAAGAGCCACAGCATTACTTGGCCTGTGGTGCCCCTAAAGCAGTTACAGCTACAAAGACTGAAAACTTAGATTTACAATATCCAAATTCATTCAATTACCTGGAGAGCCTTCTAAAGAAGGACAGATACAAACAAGCCCAGATTGCAAAGAATAAACCAAATACTTATTTCTTCTATGCCCAGACCCCAATGCCCATCCACAAACATCAAGACCAAACAAGAAAATATGGCCTTAACAAAAAAACTAGGAAGCCAACTGGAGAGACAGAGCTATGTGACCTTTCAGGCAGAGAATACAAAATAGCAGTTTTGCTGAAATTCAATGAAATTTAAGATAATACAAAGAAGAAATTCGGAATCCTATCAGGTAAATTTAACAAAGATATTGAAATAATTACAAAGATTCAAGCATAAGTTCTGGAGTTGAAAAATGCAACTGACATACTGAAGAATGCATTAATGTCTTACCAGCAGAACAGATCAAGCAGAAGAAAGAATTAATGAGCTTGAAGACAGATTATTTGAAAATACACAGTCAGAGGAGACAAAAGAATAGATAATAAAAAGCAATGAAGCAAGCTTCTAAAATCTGCAAAATAGTCTCTAAGGAGAAAGTCTAACAGTTATTGGCCTTAAAGAGAAGGCTGAGAAAGAGATAGGGGTAGAAATTTATTCCAAGGGATAATAACAGAGTACTTCCCAAACCTAGGGAAAGATATCAATATTCAAGTACACGAAGGTTACAGAATAGCAAGCAGATTTAACTCTAGTAGGACTACCTCAATACATTTAATAATCAAATCCCCAAAGTTTAAGGATGAAACAAAAGGACCCTAAAAGCAGCAAAAAAAACAAAAAAATCAAACAATATACAATGGAATTCTAACATGTCTGTCAGCAAAATTTTCAATGGAAACATTTTATGCCAGGAGAGAATAGCATGATATATTTCAAGTGCTGGAGGAAAAAACAAAAGCAACAACACCAACAACAAAAACACTTTTATCCTAGAATAGTATAGATCGTGAAATTATTCCTCAAACACGAAAGAGAAAGGCTTTCTCAGGCAAACAAAAGCTGAGGAATTTCATCTACACCAGGACTGACCTACAAGAAATGCTAAAGGGAGTTCTTCAGTCTGAAAGAAAAGGATGCTAATGAGCAATAACAAATCAGCTGAAGGTGCAAACTTCAGTGGTGATAGTAATTACACACACACAAAAAAACAGAATATTATAACACTATCATTGTGCTTTATAAACTAGTCATATTTTGAGTAGAGAGACTAAAAGTTGAACTGATCCAAAATAATAACTAAACAGCTTTTCAAGACATAGACACTACTACAATAAAATATAAATAGAAACAGAAACAGTTAAAAAACGGCGCAAAGTTAAAGTGTAGAGTTTTTATTAGTTTTCTCTTTGCTTCTTTGTTTGTTTATGCAATCAGTGGTAAGTTGTAATAAGGTTAAAATAATTGGTTATAAGATATTATTTGTAAGCCTTATGGTAATCTCAAATCAAAAAAATATACAACAGATACACAAAAAATAAAAACCAAGAGATTAAAATATATCACCCAAGAATACCACTTTCACTAAAAGGAAGACAGAAAGAAAAGAAAGAAGGAAGAGAAAACCACAAAACAACCGGAAAACAAGTAATAAAATGGCAGGAGTAAGTCCTTACCTATCAATAGTAACATTGAATGCACAGGGACTAAACTTTCCAAATAAAAGACATAAACTGGCTGAATGAATTTAAGAAACTAGAACCAATAATCTGTTGTCTACAAGAAACAAGCTTCATCTATAAAGACACATATAGACTGAATTTAAAAAGTTGGAAAAAGATATTCCATTGCAGTAGAAACAAAAAAGAGCATGAGTAGTGATACTTAAATGGGTTAATTCAGCAAGAGGATATAATGATTTTAAATAAATATATACACACAACACTGGTACACCAAGATATATAAAGCAAATATTATTACAGCTAAAGAGATAGACTCCAATACAATAAGAGTAGGAGAATTCAACAACCCATTTTCATCACTGGATATATTATCCAGAGAGAAAAATCTAGACAGAATCTTCAGACTTAATCTTCACTATAGACCAAGTGGACTTAGTAAATAATCACAGAACATTGAATCCAATAGCTGCAGAATATACATTCTGCTCCTCAGCACACAGATCATTCTCAAAGATATATCGTATATGTTAGCACAAAAAGCAAGCCATTGAGAAGTGAAGCCAGCTGGGCTTCTGGGTTGGGTGGGGACTTGGAGAAATTTTCTGTCTAGCAAAAGGATTGTAAACACACTAATCAGCACTCTGTGTCTAGCTAGAGGTTTGTAAACGCACCAATCAGTACTCTGTGTCTAGCTCAAGGTTTGTAAACACACCAGTCAGCACTCTGTGTCTAGCTAATCTGGTGGGGACTTGGACAAATTTGTGTCTAGCTAAAGGATTGTAAATGCACCAATCAGCACTCTGTGTCTAGTTAAAGGATTGTAAATGCACCAATCAGCACTCTGTCAAAATGGACCAATCAGCTCTCTGTAAAATGGACCAATCAGCTCTTTGTTAAATGGGCCAATCAGCTCTCTGTTAAATGGACCAATCAGTAGGATGTGGATGGGGCCATATAAGGGAATTAAAGCAGGCCAGTTGAGCCAGCAGCGGCAACCTACTCAGGTCCCCTTCCACCCTGTGGAAGCTTTGTTCTTTCGCTCTTTGCAATAAATCTTGGTGCTGCTCACTCTTTGGGTTTGCACTGCCTTTATGAGCTGTAATACTCCTTTATGAGCTGTAACACTCACCACAAAGGTCTGCAGCTTCACTCCTGAAGTCAGCGAGACCATGAACCCACAGGGAGGAACCAACAACTCCGGACGCCGACGCCGCCTTTAAGAGCTGTAACACTCAATGCAAAGTCTGCAGCTTCACTCCTGAAGTCAGCGAGACCATGAACCCACCAGAAGGAAGAAACTCTGGACACATCTGAACATCTGAAGGAACAAACTCCGGACACACCATCTTTAAGAACTGTAACACTCACTGCTAGGGTCTGCAGCTTCATTCCTGAAGTCAGCAAGACCAAGAACCCACCAATTCTGACATAGTTACTATAAGCAACTATATGCCAATGAATTGAAACACCTAGAAGAAATATATAAATTTCTAGACATGTACAACCTACTACAATTGAACTATGAAAAAAAAAAGCATGAATAGACCAATAACAATTAACGTGATCAAAGATGTAACAAAAAGTATTCCAGCAAAGAAAAGTCTGAGACCTGACGGCTTCACTGCTGAATTATACCAAACATTTAAAGAGAAACTAGTGGTAATTCTAGTCAAACTATTCTGATAAATAGAAGAGAGTGGAATACTTCCAAATTTATTCTACAAGGTTAGTATTACCCTGATAACAAAACCAAAGACACATGCAAAAAGGAAAACAGACCAATCTTGTTGGTCGATATTCATGCAAAAATTCTCAACAAAACACTAGCAAACTGAATTCAATGACACATTAAAAAGATCATTTGGGAAAATGCTTCCAGATTTTGTCCATTTAGTATGATGTTGGCTGTGGGTTTGTCATAGATGGCTCTTAGTATTTTGAGGTATGTTCCTTCAATACCTAGTTTATTAAGAGTTTAACATGAGGTGCTGTTGAATTTTACAAAAGGCCTTTTCTAAATTGATTGATACAATCATGTGGTTTTTGTCTTTAGTTCTGTTTATGTGATGAATCACATTTATTGATTTGCATGTCTTCAACTAAACTTGCATCCCAGAAATAAAGCCTACTTGATCATGGTGGATAAGCATTTGACTTGCTGCTGGATTCAGCTTGCCAGTATTTTGTTGAGGATTTTTGCATCAGTGTTCATCAGGGATATTGGCCTGAACTTTTTCTGTTGTGTCTCTGTCAGGTTTTGGTATCACGATGATGCAAGCTTCATAGAATGAGTTAAAAAGGAGTCCTTCTTCCTCAATTTTTTGAAATAGTTTCAGCAGGAAGGGTGCCAACTCTTCTTTGTACATCTGGTAGAAATCAGCTGTAAATCTGTCTGGTCCTGGGCTTTTTTTTTTGGTTGGTACGCTATTTATTACTGATTCAACTTCAGATCTCATTATTGGTGTGTTCAGGGATTCACCTTCTTCCTGAGTCAGTCTTGGGAGCAGGTATGTGTCCAGGAACAGTCACGTTAAGAGCCAAGTCAGAAATGCAATCCCATTCACAATTACCACAAAAAGAATACAAACCTAGGCATACAGCAAACCAGGGAATGGAAAGATCTATACAAAAAGAAATTCAAAACACTGTTCAAAAAAAACTAGAGACGATGCAAACAAATGGAAGAAACATTCCATGGATAGGAAGAATCAATATCATTAAAGTGTCAGTACAGCCCAAAGCAATGTATAGATTTAATGCTATTCCTTTGAAATTACCAAGAACAGTCTTCACAGCACTAGAAAAAAAACTGTTTTAAAATTCATATGGAACCAAAAATGAACTTGAATAGCCAAGGCAATCCTAAGCCAAAAGAACAAAGCTGGAGGCATTATGCTACCTGACTTCAAACTATACTATGGGGTTACAGTAAAAGAACAAACAAACAAAACCCAGCATGGTACAGGTACAAAAACAGATACACAGACAAATAGAACAGAATAGAGAATCCAGAAGTAAGACTGCACACTTAAAACAATCTAATCTTTGACAAATCTGACATAAGCAAGCAATGGGGAAAGGACTACCTCTTCAATGAATGGTGCTGGGATAACTGGCTAGGCATATGCAGATTGAAACTGGACCCCTTCCTTACACCGTATATGAAAATTAACTCAAGATGGATTAAAGACTTAAAAGTAAAACCCAAAACTACAAAATCCCTGGAAAACAACTTAGGCAATATTATTCTGTACTTAAGGATGGGCAAAGGTTTCATGACAAAGACACCAAAAGCAATTGCAACAAAGACAAAAATTGAGAAATGGAATCTAATTAAGCTAAAGAGCTTCTGCAAAGCAAAAGAAAATGTCAACATAGTAAACAGACAACCTACAGAATGGGAGAAAATATCTGCAAACTATGCATTTGAGAAAGGTCTAATATCCAGCATCTGTAAAGAACTTAAACAAATTTATAAGAAAAGAAACAAACAATCCCAATAAAAAGTAGGCAAAGGACATGAAGAGACACTTTTAAAAATAAGACATGCATGCAGTCAACAATCATATGGAAAAAAGCTAACATTACTGATCAGTAGAGAAATACAAAGCAAAACTACAATGAGATACCATTTCACTGCAGTCAGAATGACTATTATTAAAAAGTCAAAAAATAAATGCTGGTGAGGTTGTGCAGAAAAAAAAGAATGCTTGTACGCTGTTGTTGGGAATGTAAATTAGTTTAACCTTTGTGGAAAATAGTGTGAGAATTCCTCAAAGGCCTAAAAACAGAAAAATCATTAGACTCAGCAATCCCATTACTGGGTGTATATCCAAAGGAATATAAATTATTCTATCATGAAGACACATTCATGTGTATATTCATTGCAGCACTATTCACAATAGAAAATACATGGAATTAACCTAAATGCCCATCAATGGTAGACTGGATTTTTTAAATGTGGTACATATATACCATGGATACTGTGCAGCCTTTAAAAAGAATGAGATCATGTCCTTTGCATGAACATGCATGGAGCTGGAGGCCATTGTCTTTAACAAACCAATGTGGGAACAGAAAACCAAAACCACATGTTCCCACTTATAAGTGGGAGCTAAATAATGAAAACACATGGATGCACATAGGAGAACAGCAGACACTGGGAATTATCAGAGGATGGAATTAGGGAGGAGAGAGAGGATCAGAAAAAAATAAATAATGGGTACTAGGCTTAATAACTGGGTGGTGAAATAATCTCTATAACAAACCCCTATGACACAAATTTACCTACAGAACAAACCTGCACATGTACCCTTGAACTTAAAATAAAAGTTAAAAAAAAATCACTCATCATAAACAAGTGGGATTTTTCCTAGGAATGCAAAGATGGTTCAACATACACGAATTAATGTGATACATTACATCAACAAAATAAAGAACAAAAAACATATCATTTGAATTGATGCAGAAAAAGCATTTGATAAAATTCAACATCATTTCAGGAAAAAAAATCCCCCAAAAAACTGGGTATAGAAGAAATGTATCTTAATATATTAAAAGTCATATACAACAGACCCACAGCTAGTATCAGGCTGAATCTGTAAAACCTGAAAACCTATTCTCTAAGATCTGGAACACAACAAGGACTCCCACTTTCACCACTGTTATTCAACATAGTACTAGAAGTCTTAATTAGAGCCATCAGACAAAAGAAAAAAAAAAGCATCCAAATTGGAAAAGACAAAGTCTAATTATTCTTGTTTTTTGGTGATACAATTTTATATTTGGAAATACCTAAAGATACCACCAAAAACTATTAGAACTATTAAATTCAATAAAGTTGTGGAATACAAAATCAATGTGCAAAAATCAGTAGCATTTCTACATGCCAACAGCTGACAATCTAAAAAAGAAATCTTAAAAGTAACTCCATTTACAATAGCTACAAATAAAATAAAATACCTAAATGTAAAAGTGAAAGGTCATTACAATGAAAAATAGAAGGTGTTCATGCAAAAAATTGAAGAGGACACCTAAAAGAGAAGATAATCCATGTTCATGGATCATAAGAATAAATATTGTCTAAATGTCCATAATACCCAAAGCAATCTGCAGATTAGAATCAATGCAATCCATATCGAAATATCAATGACATTCTTCTCAGAAATTAAAAAAAACCTAAATTTTATATGGATACACTGAAGATCCAGGATAGCTAAAGCTATCCTGAACCAAAAAGAACAAACCTGAAAGAATCATATTACCTGACTCCAAATTAAATTACAGAGCTATAGCAACCAAAACAGCATGATACTGGCAGAAAAACAGATGCATAGACCAGTAGAATAGAATAAATTCCCCCAAAACAAATTTATATGTCTGCAATGAACACATTTTGACAAAGGTGCCTAAAATGTATATTGGAGAAAGGACAGTCACATCAATAAATTGTGCTGTACACACTGGATATCTAAATGCAGAATAATGAAATTAGTTCCCTATCTCTTGCCATATACAAAAATAAAGTTAAAATGGATATAAAACTTAAATCTAAGACCTCAATCTGTGAAACTACTAAACAAAAACATTGGAGATACTCTCCAGGATATTGAACTGGGCAAATATTTCTTGAGAAATAACCCACAAGCACAGGCATCTAAAGCAAAAAATGGACAAATGGGATCACATCAAGTTAAAATACTTCTGCATAACAATGAAAACAATCAACAAATTCAAGAGACCAGCAGAATGGGACAACATATTTGCAGACTATCCCTCTGACAAGGGATTAATAATCAGAATATAAAAGAAGTACAAACAACTCTATGGGAAATAATCTAATAATCTGATTTAAAAATAAGCAAAAGATCTGAATAGATATTTCTCAAAAAAATGGCAAACAAGTACATGAACAGGTGCACAACATCACCGATCATCAGAAAAATCCAAATCAAAACTGAAATGAGGTATTATCTCACCCCAGTTAAAATTATTTTCATTGAAAAAAACAGGCAATAACAAATGCTGGCAAGAATGTGTAGAAAAGGGAAGGAAATGAAACCCTTGCACACTATTGGTGAGTATGTAAATAAGCACAGCCACTATGGAGAAGAGTTCAAAGGTTCCTCAAAATACTAAAAATAGAGCTACCATATGACTCAGCAATCCCACTGCTAGATACATTCCCAAAAGGAAGGAAATCAGTATTTCAAAGAGACGTTTGTACTCCCATGTTTATCGCAGCACTATTCACAACAGCCTAGATCTGGAAGCATCCTAAGCGTCCATCAACAGACAAATGGGAAAAGAAAATGTAGTACAAGTATGCAATGGAGTACTATACAGCCATAAAAATGAATAAGATCCTGTCATTTCCAACAATATGGATGGAATTGGAGATAATTATGTTAAGTGAAACTAGCCAGGCACAGAAAGATGAAATTTGCATATTCTCACATATTTGTGGGAGCTAAAAATTAAAATACTTGAACTAATGGAGATAGAGAGTAGAACAATAGTTACCACAGGGTGGAAAGGGTAATTGGGGGATGGGAGGATGTGAGTTGGTTAAGGGATACAAAAATATAGTTAGATAAAATAAACAAGATCTAGTATTTGGCCAGGCATGATGACTCACACCTGCAATCCCAGCACTTTGGGAGGACAAAGCAGGTGGATCCCTTGAGTCCAGGAGCCCAGGAGTTCAAGAGCAGGACTGGGCAACAAGGTAAAACTCTGTCTCTAGTAAAAAAATACAAATTACCTGGGCATAGTGGTGTGTGCCTATAATCCCAGCTACTCGGGATGCTGAGGTGGGAGGATCACCTGAAACCAGGAAGTTGAGGAAATAGTGATCTGTGATTCCTTCCCTGCACTCCAGTCCAGCCTGGGTGACAGTGTGAGACCCTGTCTCAAGAAACAAAACAAAACAAAAAATAATGAATAAGATTCTAGTATTCACTAGCACAACAAGGTGACTACAGTTGTCAAATATTTATTATACATTTTAAAATAACTAAAAGGTTTAATTGGATTGTTGGTAACACAAAGAAAGGGTAAAACCGTTAGTTGATGGACACCCATTTACCCTAATGTGATGATTATGCATTGTATACAAGTATCAAAATATCTCTTGTACCTTATAAATACATACACCTACTGTGCACCCACAAAAATTAAAAACTAAATTTGAAAAATAACTACAATTCTTGTCTTTTCCTGGTACCCAGTAGACTTTGAAAATTCACTTTGCAGCTCTTCACATATAATGGTAGAGTTGATTTCCCTACCCTCTGAATCTCAGCAGGACTAGACTTGCTTTTGCCAACATAATATGGTGGCAGTAATGGTGTGCTAATTCCAAGCCTAAGCCTCAAGGGGCATTATCAGTATCCACTCTCTTTGTCTTTGTCTTTTGCCTTCTCCATGAAGATCTCCTTATACTCAGCTCTTGGCAAATGGTGCACATAGATGAGAACTGACCCAGCTGAGGCCCCAGATATATGAGAATACACACTGGCAGCTGACTGGCAGCTCACTACAGGTGCTTGAAGAAGCCCTGCTGAGGTCAACTCAGATCAGCAGAAACTGTCTGCTGATCCATAGACTGCTGAGAAAAATAAATATTTGTTATTGTTTGTCACTGAAGTTTTATGGTTATTTGTTACCCAATATTATTATATGACACATAATTAATGCCAGATATTTCCATTGAGGTCATTCAGTCTTATGAAAATAGCCATTCAGTCTCTGTGCTCTCACAGAGCTTGTTTGAATCCTTACTCCCCCAAATACTTTCTTAACATGATAGACAAATTTACAAATTCTTGAAGTTCATGTTTCCTTGTCATAATAATGAGGACAACAAAGTATCAACCTAATTGAGTTGTTTTGAAACTTAAATGTGATAATACATGAAACCACAGCAGAGCAGTTGACACATGGTACATGCAAAATAAACTCTAGTATTCTTAGTTTCTTATTCTTTTGAAATAATTTTCAAACTTTTTCTGAATAGTTATGAATAGTTTAAAACTGAATTTAAGTTTAACATTAAAATTATGTGACATAAACTACATGGTATGAATTATAATTGAACATTAAAAAAAGAATGAAAAAATAGGCTCAATAGAACACTGTAATTAATTTTCTCAAGGGCAAGGATAAAGTTATATTCAACTATTTTATTTCCATCACTTAGCATATGTGCTACCATATTATAAGGACTAAATATTTGTTTGATTAAACTTGTGCCTAAATGATAACATGGCACAAAAACTTCCTTTTGTGCTGCCATCAAATTCTGGCTGAAGATATAATTAATATAAGCCAAAAATTAACTTTAATTAAATAACCACATTACTTTACACATACTGGCCGCTCAGTAAGCATTTGTTGATTTGACTATGAAATCAAATTGAAAACCACACAAAGGTCATGGAAATTAGGTAATTAGCTTTTGGGAGGTGAATAGGGCAGAATGAATTATTCAATACAGTTTCTATATTTTAAATAACTGTTAATACATGAGTTAACAAATGTCAGCAAGAAAGGGCTCTTTAAATATGTGAATGAACACTATAAAAGTGATCTCAATTAGCCAATAATCTGAAAATTATGTAGCAAATATTTAAAACATTCACTTTATTTTCTTAATATATGGGGGATTTTTATTTAAAAAATCTGTAATCTAATAAGTGCCTCATTTCTGCTTAATGCCAGAGTTATACTAAATGATATTAAAAGAAAACTAGTAAAAAAAGTAATTTTATTTAGGAAAGTCACTACCTAATCAGAGAGATAAATATGTAATCAATGAATATAATCCTGAGAAATAGATGACATTATGACCAAATGATACGTAAACAAAAGGTGTGGAATGCCTGTGCTAAGTGTGTGGGGTAGCAGGGTTTCTTCACTTCACGGGCAATGTTTAGTTCATTCTACAAAGAAAATTAAAGTTCTTCATTTACAAAATGGGAGGAAGAAACAAATTCAAAAACTGCTATTGTAAGTTTTCAAATACACGTTGTGATATTTAATTGCAATTTCATGTATGTATATAATAAGGCTGAAAATAATCATTATCTTAATGTGACTGAAATATTTATGAAAAAGCAAAATTTATATATGCTGAAGGTTTGGGAATTGAATTCAAGGTCTTTAATCTTTAAGGGAAATTTAAATTTCTCTATCACTGGCAGGAGAATATATATAAAGGCATAAAAGTGGGGAATAGCAATACTGAATGTGGCTGGAACTGAGAATGCCTGTCGCAGGCAGGAGCAACTGAAGGGATGGCAACTGCTGAGACTATAAATAAAGTTAAGCACAAATTGGGGCATGAAGAACATTTATGCCATCCTAGCAGGGCTGGATTTTTTTTCCCCCTGGAAGTGACAAAGAATAATTAAAGAATTGCAGAGAAGTGTTATATAATCAACTTGCATGTTAGAAATAGCTTCTGGTGATAGTTGAGAGAATTATTTGGGGGAAGGAAACTCAAGAATTTGACTAGGGATATCAGTTAACCAACTAAGAAATAGTTAATGAGTGGAAAAATGAAGTCTTTGCTAAAAGAAGTGATAGTAGGTTTACAGAGAAAGGAATAGAATTCAAAGGTATCTTACAGACAGCATCAACAGAATTTGAGACCAACCAATGAGGATCATCAGGAGAGAGATCAGAATTATCAAGATGAACTTAGCAGGTATACTATGCCATTATGCCTAAACAGAGACAGGGTGGGTGAAAAAGGAGAAGCAGATTCGTAGGTAAGATCAGGAATTCAGTTGAGGGTTCCTTGTGGTTGATGTGGCTTCAGGCCATTTAAGGGAAGATACTTAACAGAAAAGTGTAACATTGACTTGGATATGTATGTCAAGTCTTCACCATCATACATTTCGTGTTAAAGCCAAACTTAAACTAGAGGGTTGAAAAACTAAGACAAAGCAAAGTGAGTACTACAACTGAGAAAATAAATGTTCTATCCAAACAAAATGTTAAAAATTAAATGTAATCAATAACAGAGACTGCAAATTAAATTAGTAATAATAATCTGTAGCTAAGGAAAAGCAATTCAGAATTTAAATAACAAAAACAAAAAAGTTGTGAAGATAAACACTTATTAGGTGCCTAAATATGAATATATTCATTAATAAAATGGTAAAATTATCTTGGTATTTTAGAGAAATATTGATCTTTTCACATGTATTGCATCAGTATAAACAAATGAAGCATTATTAAATTTTCATTAGAGTTTCATTAGAATTGATATCCAAATTAATACAAAATTCTAAAAAGCAAAATGTTTAATACTGCAGATGACATGAAACATAAGAATAACAAGAAAGGATTTTTAAAAGAAGAGAAGGATAAAATTATGACTGAAATAAAACCTACCGTTTATTACTACAGTATATTGCTGTAAGTACAAAGGTTAAACTCTAACGTTTGAAGAAGAATGATCTTCTTCAAACTGGGCCATAAAACAAAAGCATCAAAATATAACTAGTTCTCACAAATCTACGTGAGAAATCAATGGAAATGATTATAGGGATCAGAAAATATGTGACAAAAAATACTAAACAACAAAACTCACAACAAAATGAATGCAATGTGGAAATATTCATGTCTGATAGAGGAAAATTAAAAGGTAAAAAGTCAATCATGGACACAAGGTAATTTTAAATATTTGTGTAAATAAACACCCAACCACAATGAGGATGTAACAATGGGGAAAAAGGTCTCTCACCTTGTAAAATCCATTAAAATATCTGATACAAACCTTAAAGAATATAAGAACGATAAAATATAGATTTTAAAATATGAAGCAGGCTAAACAATTAATAAGTCCATAAAGCAGTTTAATAACAGAAAATAGACACTACATGAAACCCTACATGCGATCCTATGAAAATGTCAAGCTCCACCCATTTGATGGAGATTGGAGACAGGAGGTCTAAAAACATAAGGAGAGCTGGAAGTAGTTTAAACTTTATACATAGAACTATTGCATTCCTTGTCTCCATACTTTTTCCTTAATCATCTGACTCCATCTTTAAGAACTCCTTGGCATTTATCCTCAGGTAGCAACACCATTTGTCATCAACTCCAAGGAAATTCACTTTCTTTTTTGGGAAAAAATAAATCCATTGAAATAGTGGATTTGCTTTTTAAAAAGGTCCTTTATGTTCCGGCTTATGGAATTTTTCCCAATCTAAATGCTTTTTGCTTGCTTTGTACTAGGTAGCTCATAAGAGAAACAAGTGATGCTTTGCTCATATACTTAAGGTGTGTGTTTCATCAGCTTCCCAATGTATGGAAGAAAGCTAGTTGAAGAAACAGAAATACATATAAAATATTATCTAGAGTGGCAGAGTTGCTTCTGGAGTCAAACTGAGTTTCAATCCTGTATACTGTACTTACTATTAATAGCTAGGCAGCCTTGAAAATATATTTATCCTCTTTCTGTCTCTGTTTCCTCACTTCATCTACAAAGTATGGATAGTACTATTGCCTATCTCATAGAGTTTGTAAGAATTTAATTAATTAATTTGTTTGAGCATTGTGTAAAGAAAAACAGCATTGTGGAAGAGAATACCAAAATAAGTTAGACTAATTCAGCCCATCAGCCCATTTGTTAAGAGTGTAGTTTGGAAAGAATGATAACTTTTAAAAGATTCTATGTAAACAAAAATAAATATTCTTCATAAAATCACTAAAGTATATAATGTAGTGAAAAAATTACAATAGCAGCACCAATCACCACAACAAGATAAGTAACCTAAACTTAACCTTTAGAAATACGTGAGATCCACATAAAGGAAATGTTAAAATACCACTGAGGAAGAAATGTGTACGCACACACACATATATGCCAAATCTGAACCAACGGAACAGCTTCTCCATACCCTAATGATGCCATTTCTTCCTACATTCATCTATTACTCTATAACATTTACATGAACTTAATGAAAATAATTGATAAAATTTGTTCTTATTGCTTAGAACTATACAAAGTGATTCCATAGTCCATAGGTTAAACAGTGACATCAGTCCAGAATCTTTGAAAAACAAGAGTGATCATAAGAGATGTGTATGATAACATATTAATTACCAAAAAGTTTTGACAATAAGACCCTGTGTGTGAGCAGAGAAATTCAGGCAGAGGGTATTAATTCAAAGGTCTTAAAACAGTAATAATCTTGGCACGTTCAGAAAATCAACCCAAAGTAGCTGTCACATAATGCGTGAAGGAGTGCAGTAGTAGGAGTGAGACCAGAGGGAAGGGCTGGTGCCAGGTTATCTGTAACCTTGTAGGCAAGGGAAGGATTTTTACAATTTGTTAAAAGGGTCTTCTATAGAGCCACTATCATAAATTTGTGGAAAAGATGGAATTAACCATAAATATAGACAAAAGAAGGCCAAGAACAAGAATTTGGAATGCATCTGTCATGAGGGGAAGACAAAGGAAGATGGATAACACAGCACAGAAATGAAGCAGGCTTTGTGAAATAGAATTAGGAGGAGAGTTACCATTTAAGACAAATACAAAGAAAAAATGTTCTTGAATAAGAAAGTTGATATAGAAAAATTTAAATACTGCAGAGAGTTTAAGAGATATTGAACAAGAGTCCATTTAATTTGTAAATTATGATTAGCTTTGAAGAGTTTTTTCATAAATACAGAAAGGAAATCACAGCTTCTAACAGCCATGCATTACACTTCTTAAAACATTTTTTAAATATTTTGTTTGGTTTCAGTCCTCAAATGCTGAAAATCGGTAACGTATGTTTATCCAAGTAATTTGCTTTCATAGAGTCACAGATCTGTGGAATTTTGTATACTTCATACTTCTGTAATAGGCTACATGGACATTTAATTATGCCATTAGACTACATGAATATTTGAAAGTGATATTATTTTGATTCATCACAAGAAAGTCACATACTTCAGGTGATACTTTTCAGTAGTTACTTATTAGCATTTATTAAGTTTAATTCTTTCTACGTCGACTTTGTGCATAATAGAGCAATTTGTCCAATTAGAAATGAAGCAAAGTTATTTGGCACATTCTGGAATCCAGGGCCCTATTTTATATAGAGACCATGGCCCATACTATTTAATTTTTTAAATTCATTTATTGTATTGTTCTTTTCTAGCTTTAGTATATTTTTGCCCTGACAGACATGCCATTTAAAAATGGTAAAACTGTTTTAAAATGTAGTATATTTATAATATTTATATTTAGCAATACCAATTTTGATCATTATTGCTATTTAGACAATTACAATAATGATTTAAATTTCATGAGCCCTTTCATGAATGAAAAACGTAAGCAAGACAGTCCTTCTTTGACCTGTCATCTATTCCACTCACCCTCATGTCCCATAACTTGTGCAATAATACTGTGCTAAAACGAAATTTCTGCTTCTCTTTTTTCTTCTATTTTTCTTGTTTTACTATACAAATGTTGACAAGAGACTGCATGCTGTACATTACTTTGCATTTAAGCACGGAATACATTTATTTTAAAATTTAGTATTGAGAAAAGTCCCCCCACACCCCCCTAAGAAATAATTGTGTCTCCTTATTTCAGATAGGGAAGAGGTGGTCCCTAAAGACTTGGCTGTTTAGTTGAGATTAGTTTTAAATCTTAAATCTATTATGATAGCCTTTTCAGGAATATAAATGTGGTTTACTTTTCTTTGGTCTTGATTTTCTATTTCTATTCCACTTTATTTCATATTTTTAATAGTTAATATTTTCATTAATACAACAGGAAAAGCAAAAATAAATAAAATTTTATTGTCAGTATTGGATGGTAAAAATTTAGCGTCTGAGTCAAAAAGAGAGTTTACTGGTTCTAATTAAACTTCTCCCATTTACTGAAGAATTTATTTATTATAACTATTGTTCCCAGTTATCATGGTTATTCTATTTGGCGAAATAATGTAGCCATTTTTCTTTCTTCATATGTTTTTGTTTTCTCACTAGTGAAATGAGACACTACTTCACTTTTTTTAAAATACTGGGCTTAGCACAATTTTAAAGTTTTTATATTTCAGAAGAGAAAAAATACTGTGTATTGTCAAAGGATTGATCTGCCACCTAGTCTTTCACCTTGAACTTATTTTAGAGCAATGTCATGGTTTTCTTTATAAGTTTGGAAGAAAACAGTCATTGCTAAATTTGCATTTGAATCAAATAGTAATTGTCTTAATTCTTAAAAACTTTTTTGTAATACAAAAAATTAGCCGGGCATGGTGGCGGGTGCCTGTAGTCCCAGCTACTCGGGAGGCTGAGGCAAGAGAATGGCGTGAACTTGGGAGGCGGAGCTTGCAGTGAGCCGAGATCGCGCTACTGCACTCCAGCCTGGGAGACAGAGCAAGACTCTGTCTCAAAAAAACAAAAACAAAACTTTTTTGTATATAATTGAATAATATTACACACTGTCTTGTGACTCACAATTGTACCCTTTCTCTCATAGAAGAAACCTCATTTTATTTATAAAGTGATTTCTGCCTTCATATTCTAGTATTTCATTGAATCTAGCTTGTTTCTGTCTTCAACCAGATTACTTCATTTTCATACCATCATACCTGGGCTTTTCCTTTGGCCTGGTGCACTTGGAATACCTTTTTGAAATTGTCATTCTGGTTGTTGATGGACTCTCAGCCCTAGATGTTGCCTTTTTGATTTCCCCTAGTTTGACAACACAAAACTGGGAACCATCTCCTTCCTTAATACTGATCTCACTCAAGACTCATGAATCCTTCAAGGTTTTCAACCCTGATGCACTAATTGTCTTTAAGTTGAGATCAACAGAAAGTGAGTGTACAAGACAATTTCTTAGAAAAATCTGCAACAAAAGATAAAGCAATGGTTAAAGCAATTACTTACTAAAGTCAATTCTGTTACAGTGTAAGCTAAAAAAATTAACTTCGTAAAAATATTTTAAACAACACAGGGATCTTATATAGTTTTACAAATATTGGAGATATTAGTTTGTGTCAGTTTTATGACCCAGACTTGATATTCTGTGCTGCTCTGTTGTAAAAATCACAAGCCTAATCATTCCAAATCTGCTCCTAAACTAGGAAAAGAGGCTATTTTTTTAGAATATAGTACTAATGCAACTTACATTATGGAAACCTTTGAATTATTATTTTACTTTAAAGGTTTTTTTTTTTTTTTTTTTTTTTGGAGACAGAGTCTCGCTCTGTTGCTCAGGCTGGAGTGCAATGGCACAAATCTCGGCTCACTGCATCCTCCGCCTCCTGGGTTCAAGCAATTCTTCTGCCTCAGCCTCCGGAGTAGCTGGGACTACAGGCGAATGCCACCACGCCTGGCTAATTTTTTTGTATTTTTAGTAGAGATGGGGTTTCACAGTGTTAGCCAGGATGGTTTCGATCTCCTGACTTCATGATCCGCCCACCTTGGCCTCCAAAAGTACTGGGATTACAGGCATCAGCCACTGTGCCCGGCCTACAAGATTTTTTAAATGAGTACAGCATTCAAGATTTGGAAGGCAAATATTAATTCCAGTAAATGACTTTTGCTTCTGGCCACAATCATAGCTACCATCACAAGCCATTTCATGAGTATTTGATACCTACAACTAGCAGTGCTTCTTCTCCAGGGACACCTTCAGTACATAACTGACTTCTGAATCCATTCTCCCATCCAGTTCAGGCTACAACGTGGGAGGGGAAGTGATATATACCACTCCATAGGTTATTTTTACTAGCAATATTGGCTCCTCCATATACTCTGTTTTTCCTTTTGCTGGCTTGATTCAGAGAACTCCAAGGCACTAGGAGATAATGAAGTCACAAAAATGGAAGGAATGTGGCACTAGCTTTAATGTTAACTTGTGTGAACTTCTATTGGCACAGACGAAATGCACATCCACAAAATTGAAAAATTTGGATTACTGTTGCCAAAGATTTTTTTAACTGATGTATCACCATATTAGACCATTACCAATTAAATTTTAGTTCTTTTTTAAAATTATTGTTTAATTTTGTTTTTGAGCAAAATTCTCAGGAATAGAATTTATTTTCCCAGTTACTATAAGGAGCATATCTTTTGTTTGCTTTATATTTTTGGACTTCTATTTTAGAATTTTATTATTATATTAAATGTCTTTTAGTCTCTGATGATGGTTAAAATTTAGAGAAACATCTGTTTCTTGTGAGAGACTAGTGGAGATTATACTTAAAAAAAGTAACTAATATACATTGTATATTATAGACTCTATAATTAGTTATTGTAAGGTCCCCTGAGCTAGCCACACCATGGTCAAGCTATGGTGACATTCCCCCACCCTTGTGATAATGTACTTTGTGATATTCCCCCACCATCCCCACCGCCCCCACCCCTGTCTTTGTGAATGTACTTTGTAACATTCCTCCCGACCCTTGTGACAATACACCCTCCAGCCCTTGTGAATATACTTTGTAACATCCATCCCCTGCCTGCAAATATTGCTCCTGACTCCACCACCTATCCCAAACCTGTAAGAACCAATGATAATCGCACCACCCTTCGCTGACTCCTTTCTCGGACTCAGCCCATTTGCACCCAAGTGAATAAACAACCTTGTTGCTCTCGTTAAGCCTGTTCAGGTGGTGTCTTATACGGACACATGTAACATTTGGTGCCGAAGACCTGGGACAGGGGAACTCCTTCAGAAGACCAGTCACCTGTCCTCATGCTCCCTCCGTGAGGAGATCCACCTATGACCTTGGGTCATCAGACCTGCCAGCTCAAGTACCATCTCACCAATTTCAAATCACTAAGCAGTTCTTTGCACTCAGATAAGCAGTTTTTTCACTCTCTACCTAACCTCTCTCGCCTCCCTTCAATCTCTCTCCTTTCAATTTAAATTTCTCTCCCTTCCTGGTAGAGACAAAAAGGAGACACACTTTATCCGTGCATTCAAAAACTCCGACGTTGGTCACGGGCTTGGGAAGACAGTCTTCCCTTGGTGTCTGATCACTGTGGGGATGCCTGCCTTGATCATTCACCAACATTCCCTTGGTAGCAAGTCAATTTGCAGGCATGCCTGCTTTGGCTGCTCACCCACATTACAGCCCTGGACTCAGTCAGGGACGCCTACTGGAAGCCTGGTAGCTGTTCACCTCTATTTCTCGGTGTCTCTACCTTCCTCTATCAACTTACCTTCTCCACTATGGGCAACCTTCTGCCATCCATTCCTCCCTCTTCCTCCTTAGCCTGTGTTCTTAAAAAGCTAAAACCCCTTAGACTAACACCTGACCTAAAACCTAAATGCCTTATTTTCTTCTGTAATACCGCTTGGCCCCAATACAAACTCGACAATAGTTCCAAGTGGCCAGAGAATGGCATTTTCGATTTGTCCATCCTACAAGACCTAGATAATTTTTGTCGAAACTTGGGCAAATGGTCTGAGCTGCCTTATGTCCACGCAATTTTTATACTTCACTCTCTCCCTAGTCTCTGCTCCCAATGTGACTTGTCCCACATTTTCCTTCTTTCTCTCCTGTCCACTCCTTCAGTCTAAACCCCTAGCTCAGAGTCCTCTGAAACCTTCTTTTCCACTGACCCGTCTAATCTCTCTTCTCCTCCCGTAGTTGCTCCTTGCCAGGCTGAATAGGGTCCCAGGCTGAATCAGGTCCCAATTCTTCAGTAGCCTCTGCTCCCCCACCCTATAACCCTTCTATTACCTCCCATCCTCACACCCTGTCTGGCTTACAGTTTCGTTCCATGACTAGCTCTCTTCGACCTGCCCAACAATCTCCTCTTAGAGAGGTGGCTAGAGCTGAAAACATAGTCAGGGTACATGTGCCTTTTTCTCTATCAGATCTTTCCCAAATCAGCCAGCGTTTAGGCTGTTTCTCATCAGACCCCACTAAATATATACAGGAATTCCGATATCTAACTCAGTCCTACAATTTAACCTGGAGTGACTTAAATGTCATCCTGACCTCTACCTTCTCCCTAGATGAATAAGAGTTTATTTTTTAGCCCAGTCCAGTCAGACTCCTGCCAGCTTCATGAGCCAGGCCTCCAAGAGGGCACCAGGGCAGTTTCCTGAGAGGATCCCCATTGGCAATACCAGATGGACTCCCCAGGTATAGCTAGGCAAGATTACATGGTCTCCTGCTTAGTCAAGGGACTCAAAAAGGCAGCATACAAAGCTGTTAATTACGGCAAGCTAAAGGAAACTACCCAAGGTAAAGATGAAAACCTAGCCCAGTTCATGGTCTGCTTAGCAGCTACCCTTAGACACTTTACAGCCCTAGACTCAGAGGGGCCAGAAGGCCACCTTATTCTTAATATGCATTTTATCACCCAATCTGCTCCTGACATTAGAAAAAATCTCCAAAAGTTGGATTCTATCCCCCCCCGCAACAGGATGTAATCAAACTCGCCTCTCTGTTCAATAACAGAGAAGAAGCCGCCGAGTGGCAACGTAGCTCTGAGTTACAGCTACTGGCCTCCATGTAAAACAACCCACAACCATGTCTCCAGCATACAAAACCTTCAGAACATCCAAGCCACCTTTCCCAGGGGTTCCTTCAAATCCTCTTTGTGGACCTTACTTCAAATGCCAAAAGTCTGGCCACTGGGCCTTGAAATGCCCTCAGCCCAGGATTTCTCCTAAGCCATGCCCTGTCTGTACGGGCCCCCACTGGAAGTCAGACTCTCTCACTCACATCACCACAGCTCCTAAAGCTCGTGGAGCTCAAACCCAATGTTTCTTGGCCGTCTCCTTCACAGATCTCCTCGGCTTAGCGGCTGAAGACTGATGCTGCCCAATAGACTCAGAAGCCCCCTGGACCATCACAGATGCCGAGCTTCAGGTAACTCTTATAGTGGAGGGTAAGTCCATCACCTGTTTAATTGATATGGGTGCTACCCATTCCACATTACCTTCTTTTCAAGGACCTGTTTCCCTTGCCCCCATAACTGTTGTGGGTATTGACAGCCAGGCTTCTAGACCCCTTAAAACTCCCCAACTCTGGTGTCAACTTGGACAACATTCTTTTATGCACTCTTTTTTAGTTATCCCCACTTGCCCAGTTCCCTTATTAGGTCGAGGCATTTTAACTAAATTATCTGCTTCCCTGACTATTCCTGGACTATAGCCACACCTCATTGCTGCCCTTTTACCCAATTCAAGGCCTCCTTTGAATCCTTCTCTTTTGTCTCCCTATGTTAATCCACAAGTATGAGATACCTCTAGTCCCTCCTTGGCAACCAATCAGGCACCCCTTACCATCCCATTAAAACCTAGTCACCCTTACTCTGCTCAATGCCAGTATGCCATCCCACAACAGGCTTTAAGAGGACTAAAGCCTGTTATCACTCACCTGTTACAGCATGGCCTTTTAAAGCCTACAAATTCTCCTTACAACTCCCATTTCCTACCTGTCCAGAAACTGGACAAATCTTACAGATTGGTTCAGGATCTTCTCCTTGTTAAACAAATTGACTTACCTATCCATCCTGTGGTGCCAAACCCATATAGTCTCCTATCCTCAATACCTCCCTCCACAACTCATTATTCTGTCCTTGACCTCAAAGATGCTTTCTTCACTATTCCTTTGCACCCCTCATCCCAACCTCTTTTCACTTTCACATAGACTGACGCTCACATCCACCAATCTCAGCAACTCACCTGGACTGTACAGCTGCAAGTCTTCAGAGACAGCCCCCATTACTTTAGTCAAGCTCTATCTCCTTATTTCTTTCCCTCCACTTGTTTCTCACGTTATTCAATATATGGACGACATTCTCCTTGGCAGCCCCTCTTACGAATCTTTCCCACAGGATACCCCTCCCTGCTCCTTAAACATCTATTATCAAAGGGGTATCAGGTATACCCCTCTAAAGCCCAAATTTCTTCCCCATCTATTACCTATCTTGGCATAGTCCTTCATCAAAACACATGTGCTCTCCCTGCTAACCATGTCCGGCTAATCTCTGCTTCTACAAAGCAACAACTCCTTTCCTTCCTAGGCATGGTTGGATACTTTAGGCTTTGGATACCAGGTTTTGCCATCCTAACTAAACCACTATATAAACTCACAAAAGGAAACCTGACTGACCCAATAGACCCTAAGTCCTTTCCCCACTCTTCTTTTCATTCCTTAAAGACAGCCCTAGAAACAGCTCTCACATTAGCACTCCGGAACTCGTCCCAATCCTTCTTCTTACATACAGCTGAAATACAATGCTGTGTGGTCGGAGTTCTTACACAGGAACCAGGCCCACAACCTGTAGCCTTCCTATCCAAACAACTTAACCTCACAGTTCTAGGCTGGCCCTCATGTTTACGTGCAGTAGCAGCCGCCGCTTCAATACTACTAGAGTCCCTCCAGATCACAAACCATGCCCCATTTACTCTCTATAGCTCTCATAACTTTCAGAATCTATTTTCCTTCTCACACTTGGCACATATACTTTCTGTTCTCAGACTCCTCCAACTGTACTCACTATTCGTTGAAACTCCCACAGTTACCATTGTTCCTGGCACAGACTTTGGCCCAGCCTCCCACCTTATACCTAGCACCAAACCTGAACTGCATGACTGTATATCTCTAATCCATATGGCATCCTCCCCATTTCCCCATATTTTCCTCTTCCCTGTTCCTAATCCAGACCACACTTGGTTTATTGATGGTCGTTCTTCAAAGCCGAATCGTCAGTCACTGGCAAGAGCTGGCTATGCTGTAGTGTCTTCCACATCTGTCACTGAAGGTACTGCCTGCCCCCTTCCACTACCTCTCAACAAGCTGAACTCTGCTTTAACCTGGGTTCTCACCCTTGCAAAGGGACTATGTGTCAGTATCTACACTGATTCCAAGTATGCCTTCCACATCCTACATCACCATGCTGTTATGCTGGCAGAAAGAGGTTTTCTCACTACAGAAGGGTCCTCCATCATCAATGCTTCCTTAATAAAAATCCTCCTTAAGGCTGCTCTACTTCTCAAGGAAGCCAGAGTCATTCACTGAAGGGCATCAGAGGTCACCAGATCCCATTGCTCGAGGCAACGCTTATGCTGATAATGCAGCAAAAGAAGCAGCTAGTATTCCCACATCTGTCCCTCGTGGCCAGTTTTTTTTTCCTTCTCCTCTATCACTCCCACCTATCCTCCCACTGAAACTATTACCTATCAATCCCTTCCTACTTATAAGGCAAATGGTTGTTGGATCAAGGAAAGTTCCTCCTTCCTGCCTCACAGGCTTATTCTATCTTATCATCCTTTCATAACCTCTTTCATGTGGGTTACAAGCCAATGGCCCAACTGTTAGAATCTCTAATTTCTTTTCCATCATGGACATCCATCCTCAAGGAAATTACTTCTCAGTATTCCATCTGCTACTCTACCACCCCTTGGGGATAACTTAGGTCCTCTCCCTTTCCTACACATCAAGCTTGAGGATTTGTCCCCCACCCAAGACTGGCAGATTGACTTTACCCATATGCCCCATGTCAAAAAACCAAGATAGCTTTTGTTCTGGGTAGATACATTCACTGGATGGGTAGAGGCCTTTCCCACAGGGTCTGAGAAGGCCACCACGGCCATTTCTTCCCTTCTGTCAGACATATTTCCTCAGTTTGGCCTTCCCACTTCTATACAGTCCGATAACGGACCCGCCTTCATTAGTCAGGTCACTCAAGCAGTCTCCCAAGTGCTTGGCATCCAGTGGAAACTTCATGCCCCCCACCATCCTCAATCTTCAGGAAAGGTAGAAAGAACTAATGGTCTTTTAAAAACTTACCCCACCAACCTCAGCCTCCAACTTAAAAAAGACTGGACAGTACTTTTACCGTTTGCCCTCCTTAGAACTAGAGGCTGTCCTCAAGAAGCTACAGGGTATAGTCCATTTGAACTTTTATATGGATGCACCTTCTTTTTGGGCCCCAACTTCATGCCAGACACCAGCCCTCTAGGCGACTATCTTCCAGTCCTCAAGCAGGCTAGACAGGAAATTCGGCAGGCTGCTAATCTTCTCTTGCCTACTCCAGATTCCCAGCCATATGAAGATACCCTAGCTGGACAATCAATTCTTGTTAAGAATACGACCCCTCAAACTCTACAACCTCAATGGACTGGACCCTACTTAGTCATCTATGGTACCCCAACTGCTGTCTGCCTGCAGGACCCTCCCCACTGTGTTCACCTTTCCAGAATAAAGCTGTGTCTGTTGGACAGCCAGTCTCATCTCTCCTCTTCCTCCTGGAAGTCGCAAGTACTCTCCGCTACTTCCCTTAAACTCACTCACATTTCTGAAGAACAGTAATAACCCTTATTAGCCTAATACATCCCTTCATTCTATTAGCTCTCTTCTTCCTTTCCCTACTTTTTGCAACAGGGCTTTACGCAGTCACCCCCACTACTTGGACTGAGCCCCCAAAACTTGTTATCTCTATCATCTGTCTAGTCATACTCCTATTCACCATTCTCAACTATTCACAAATGCCCTGCCCTTGTTTACACTGCCAGTTTACACTTTTCCTCCAAATCATCATCACTGATATCTCCTGGTTTTACCTTAAACTGCCACCTTAACTCTCTCTTGGAGTGGATAGAAGATCTTCAGTGACAAGGTACACTCCAATTCTTCTATCCTGATGAAGTCCTTATTTTTACTTTTCTACTCACTCTTATCCTTGCCCCCATTCTCCAGTCTCTCTACCTCTCCCTAGTTACCTCTAGCATACTATCAATCTCACCCACTCTCTGCTTACTGTCTCCAATCCTTCTCTAGCAAAGAATTGTTGACTATGTGTTTCCCTTTCTTCCTGCTCTTATGCAATCATCCCCGCTCTGTAGGATGACTAGGCTACCTCTCCTGTCTCACTGCACCTCCGAACCTCCTTTAATAGCCTTCATCTTTACCTGCCTGAGGAACTTCTTTACTTTCTAGACAGATTTGGTGAGAACTCCCTATACATTTCGCACCAACAAGGTGCCACACTTCTCCACACCTACTTACAGCTTCTTTCTTCTTATGTCAATTCCACCCCCCACCCCCCAATATTTGGACCCCTAACCACACAGAAAACTATCCCTGTTGCCACTGCTTTATGTGTCTCCCGACAACAGCCTATGGGAATCCCTTTAGGCAACCTTCCACCATCCAAATGTTCCTGTACTCTATCTCCAGAACCCGGCCACATACATCACCAAACAGATAGGAGGATTCCAACTTTGCATTACTGATAAGCCCTCTATCATTATTGACAAACCAAAAAAACATTGGCAGTCACTATTGTTTAGGAAGACACCTACCCTGCATCTCACTCCATCCTTGGCTACCCTCCCCTTGCTCATCTGACTTTCCTCTTGGCCCCTCCTCTTGCTTGCTTATACCCAGCCCCATGAATAGCAGTGAAAGATTACTTGTAGACACTATGCGATTTCTCATACACCGTGAGAATCGAACATCTCCCTCTATGCAGTTGCACCATTAATGCCCATTGCAACCTCAAATGGCTGCTGCCCTTGCTGGATCTCTACGATTTTGTTAGCAGGACTCCTCCTTCAGTACACCCTCTCACCTTTCCACTTTACATTTCTAGTTCTGCCTGACACAAAATCGCTTTTTTTAATGTGGCTCTTCCACCTACATGTGCCTACCTGCCAACTGGTTGGGAACATATACTCTAGTCTTCTTTACCCCCAAAATCCAGCTTGCAGATGGGAATGAACAACTGCCTGTCCCCCTCATGACACCAACACAACAAAAAAGAGTCATCCCACTAATCCCTTTACTTGTGGGTCTAGGACTTTCTGCCACCGCTACTGCACTTGGAACTGGAATAGCAGGCATCTCAACCTTTGTCACAACATTCCGCAGCCTCTCTAATGACTTCTCTGCTAGCATTACAGATATATCACAAACTTTATCTGTCTTCCAAGCCCAGGTTGACTCTTTAGCTGTAGTTGTCCTCCAGAACCGCTGAGGCCTCGATTTACTCACTGCTGAAAAAGGAGGACACTGTATATTTCTTAACAAAGAGTGTTGTTTTTACTTAATCTGGCCTGGTATATGATAACATGAAAAACTCAAAGACAAAGCTCAAAAACTCGCCAATCAGGCAACTAATTATGGTGGACCCACCTGGCCACTCTCTAACTGGGTATCCTGGCTTCTTCCAGTCGTTAGTCCTCTAATACCTATCTTCCTCCTTCTCTTATTCCGGCCTGTGTCTCCCGATTCATCTCTCAATTCCTACAAAACCACATCCAGGCTATCACTAATCACTCTATGTGACAAATGCTGCTTTTAACAACCCCACAATATGACCCCTTACCCCAAAACCTCAGTTCAGTCTAGTCTCTCCCACTTTAGGTTCCTGAGCTGCCCCTAATCCGGCTTGAAGTAGCCCCGAGAAACGTCGCCCATCACCCCTCCATACGATCCCCAAAATTTTCACCCCAAGTTTTCACTACACTTTCTCATTTTATTTCTTCATTATTAACATAAAAAGACAGGAATGTAAGGTCCTCTGGGCTGGCCGCACCATGATCAAGCCATTGTGACGTTCCCCCGCCCTTGTGATAATGTACTTTGTGATATTCCCCGTCCTTGAGAATGTACTTTGTAACATCCATCCCCTGCCCACAAAAAATTGCTCCTGACTCCACTGCCTATCCCAAACCTATAAGAACCAATGACAATCCCACCACCCTTCACTGACTCCTTTCCCGGACTCAGCCCACTTGCACCCAAGTGAACAAACAGCCTTGTTGCTCACACTAAGCCTGCTCAGGTGGTCTCTTATATGGATGTGCATAACAGTTATAGTACACTAATATAATCATATAAATATTATTAGCACAATATAAAAATGTATTATACTAATTATGTAGTAGTATACTAATAATACTATTAGTATAATTAATTATACAGTACAATAATATACAATGTATATTATTTACTTTTGTTCTCTTTAAAAAGTCATTTTATGGTGAAAATCTACAAATATTGAGTTTCATATTTTTTCCCATGTTAGTGTTTTGTTTTGTTCTTAACACTCTATGGTGAACATTTGCAAAAGGTTTTTCTGTTGTTATTGTTTGTTTGTTTTTTACAAATAATGATCATTTTAAACTTTAGATTAACTGAAAAAACAAACAAAAACTGTTCATTTTGGGTAGAATTCACAGCACTTTAGGCAAAGTCAGGAGTAAGGGACAAATTATTTCAAAATGTTCCATTGTGGACTTTGTAATGTCTATTTTTCTCTTTCAGAAATATGATTCTGTCATTTAAAGTGCTTTTTAAAGAAATTATATTTTTTCTACTTCTATTGCAGTTGAGAGCATTCATTTGAACAACTTTGGGGCAATTAGATGTAAACAGAATTTATGCCTGCGAAGCTCTTTAAATGAGGAGACACAGGTGGTATAAACTTTTGTCATTTACTCTATTTCTTCTTACCTAAAATTGAGATTTGATGCCATAGGTGAAACAACCTGCCAGTTACCATGAAGCATTGAGTGTGAACTTAAAACTGTACGCTCAGATAGCTAAATGGAAAGATAGGAAAAGCCAGTATTCCCAAAGATAATTTAGTGCTGCTATTCCAGACCCCATATGAAAACCTCTAGACTTCTTATATGTAAATAACAAAATAACTGGGTTAAAACTGTCATTTCTATTCACTCAAGACATACTTAGTCTTATCTGATAAACCAGATTCTACCACCACCACCACAACAAAAACAAGAATATTAAAACTGATTCTGGCTACTCTGTGCACACTGCCTGTGGGGTAGCCCTGCTCTGCAAGGAAAAATTAAAAACAAACAAACAAACAAAAAACAGCTATATGCTTCTAATGCCAGAAGAGGTAAGTAGAGGAAAAAGAGAGTGAAAAAATCCCCAAGACTGAAGGAAAACAGGAAGGATGCTGCCTGATGTGAAATGCAAGGAAATCAAGATAGTAGAAAAAAATAAACAATCTTCACAATGATACAGAAGTATATATATATATATATGTATATATATATATGTATATGTATATATATATGTATATATATGTATATGTATATATATATGTATATGTATATGTATATATATATGTATATGTATATATATATATGTATATATATATGTATATGTGTATATATATATATATATACATATTTAGCCGCATAAGCCACCTTACATGAGCTTTTCAAATACCTACAGAAACACAAATGGATAAAGGAAACTCAGGCATAATTAAAAATGAAAATAGAAATCTTTGAGTATTATACAAAAAGACAAGAAGAGATAAAGCTTTTTTAACAGGACAGTTATCAACTGCCCTATTTATATGTCTCAAAATTTCTGAAAGAACTGTGGCTGAAAAATTTATTCATTCAAATTGATATGATATTGTTGAATAACTCCATGGTCAGGTTCTGCCTAAATAAGGACAAGCAGATACTATTATTTGTCAATGAATAATTTTCAACACAATAAACATGGGTCTTCCAGCCTGAAGTGAATATGAATGGTAAATGATTTTATGAGCAAATACAGATTAACAAGTATTATGTTTTTGTTGAATGGTGCCTTTCTTATTTCAAATTTGATAGAGAATTAAGATGTGGAAATAAAACAATTATTTTTATCTGGTTGCATTCTCAAATATGGGTACTAATAGAGACTGACTCTCTAAATATTAATAATATTGTGAATGATTTTAAAATGCTAATAAATCTGATCTGATTTTGTCATATTTGAAAACTTAAGGTAGGCTAAATTAATCTTATTTTTTAGTCAACTTTAAGCTCACATAGTAAAAATGTTAGTCATTGTTACAAAAGATCATTGTGACAGAGGCCTTTTCAAGTTTTATTTATGTAAGAGCTACAAATCTTGTGATCACTTCAGAAAGTGCAAAGAAATCTTTTGATTTACTCCATTTTGGTTCTATATCACAGTAAAATATCCAAATATCTTGAAGTGCTTTGACTGGTTTTTTGTACCCCATTCTTAATTAAATCAGGCAAAGGGAGCATATGAAGTGTATAACATATACTTAGAAAATAAATAGCTCCAGAAAGTTTATTTATCATGGTGACATAATAAGGTACATTATATATTATTGCAAAAAACTTTTAATATTGTTTATGTCAGGAATGCAGTTCAAGAGAATTCAAAACTGTATTTTTCTATGGTGTTTACAGAACAATCTTTTTTGAAAGACAAAGTAATTTGAAAGCTTTAATTCTAATATCTCAAAAATGTGCTAGCATATATTGTTAAAAAGTTTTTTGTAAATGACAAGCCAGTTGACATGGCGAATAGTGCTACTGATGCAGAAATAATTGTCTTGAATATTGAAAAGTTAGAGGACTAAAAGAACAACACATTAAAATAAATTTTAAGAAGTCTAGTGAAAGCTGACAAATACTTTTAGAAAACTGTTAGTAGAAACTAAGTTATTTGACTCTTAGAAGTTTTTTACTGATAGCTGAGACTAAGAACTGAGAGACAAGAACTTGATTTCTTGTGATATCTCAAAATCCTGAATTTCCCTATATGCAAAAAACCTGACCATGATTCAGAGAAACATGTGCCTTTTTATATAGCAGGTTATTTAATATTCAAATGTTACTACTCTCATATTTTAACATCTGGAGAAAAATGAAATAGATATCATCCTTGTCTGAAAAATCCAAACTCTATTTTACAATTACAAATATAGACATATGCAAAATATCTAAATGATTCTCAAAAGTCGTTTGACAAAAGTGAAAAAAAGTTAAGTAAAACAGTAAAGTTTAGAATATGAGTCAATTGACAATGTGTGTGACCTATGCAAATAGATGATCTGTTGAGCTTTGTATAAGATAGACTTTCCCAAGCTACATAAATATGGTTTAATGCTTTTTCCAGAGAATTGCATTTTAGGCAATATGAATGTATCTTGAAATAAAAGACATTAAGACATAGTCTTCATTTTAATGGAAATAGTCAACGTATGTTGAAACAGGTTCATATTGAAACTAAATGATCTAAAAATAATTGATAGTAATTTGTTTAGTTTATATTTACATTGACCGTATTTCTGCTCTGAGAACTGGCACAGTTTTCGACATATAACAGATAGCAGTGAAACCCATGCAAGCACTATTTTCTTGAGAAACCAATGTTAAATCCACATACAATATTATCTACTATCCTAATAATTATGTTGTCCTAATTGTCAGAGATATGAAATCAGAAAGGGAGCTCTGGACAATTTCTACAATGATAGATTAGGAACTTTAAATTTAGAGTTCCAATATTTCATTTCACAACTTTCCTGGACAGAAATTTGAAACCAAGTAAATAAAACATGATCAGTTAATGCAGAATACTGTTAAAATCTGTCAGTGAACCATGGCTCTCCGTTGCCATCATTTGGAATCAATGAGCAATTTAAGTGGACAAATATCACAAGAATAGAGGAATCAACCTAAAGGTAACATTTTGGCTACTTTAGGCTATTTTAAAGGAAATTAAGAGTTGCAAACCTCACTTAAAGGACATGTCTCTTCCTTGGCAAGGCAAAGAAAAGGATGCCAGAGAAAAATGAAAAAAAAAAATGGAAAGGAACAAAATTGGTGTCATAGTTTATTTGGTCCAGAAACGACAGACAAGGAAATCCATGTCAGTTGCTTAATAAAAATTAGGTTTAGGATTGTATGGAGTAACTTGAAAAGACTGGCTGCCACCCCTCTAGAAACATAATTAAATGTTATTCGTATCCTAGTCCTTCCAATAGTGAAGTAGGCAGAAACGAGTAAATATGTTTCATATGAATTAATCTGGACATCATTTGCAAGTTATTGTTATTACTATAGACTTTTAGCTTTTAGTGCTAAAGAGTAGGTAACAATCCTAAGAGCACAGTACTAATGTGAGTCAAGATTTGTTTTATTCCTAAGACTGTGCCCTTAACTACTGCACAGCATGGCCTTTCCAGAATGAAGATTTAGAGCCAGGAGAGTTTAGAGATAGGATGATCCTCCCTGGTAAGAGACAGGAAAAACCAAGCGGACAAAAGAAAGAGAGCAATCTCCCTTGCTTAGGGCAGAGGCATGCTCTGCTCATCTCTCTTCTCACATGTTTTAGTACTCTGGTTGTTATATTAAGATAAACTAAAATAAAGATAAGAAAGAGGAAAGAAGATAATAAAAAATTAAAAACTAAAATGAAAAATAGATAACATAAAAAGGAAATAATTAAAACAAAGCCTAAGGTGATAAGAAGAAACTAAGTAAATAAGTAATATAAGAACAAAGTAAACATGAGATAAAAGAAAAGTCTTATGAAAGAGTAAGAAAAGATAAATCAACTAAGAACAATTAACTGTGAGACTGTAAAACAAAAGGACTAAAAGATTAAAAGAAAAAGATAAATATGCAAAAACATTTTAAATGAACTCAAATAATAAAACGAGAATAAACTAGGGCATAAAGTGCTAACTAGAATAAAAGAAAGAAAATACACAGCACTACAAGTTCCAAAGTTTAACACACGCACGCATTTGTGTGCTGAGAGGTAAATCCCTAAATGTGCTAAGCAGATTCCACACACAATTGTTCTCCAGAAGTGGAAGGGCCCTACAGTGTCTTCTTTGGCCTAGAGTCCTCTGGCAAGTAGGAGGAGATACCATGACCATTGTATCATTATATTCATCTTTGGCCTTACTCTCCAGCCCAGGCTATGCTGAGAGATGTTTGCCAGACCTTAAATTGCTTCTGCAGAGTTTCCTGCTGGGTACCCACAGGCAGACAAATCTGTTTCCCTTGGGGTACTCTCTTCCAGTCAAGAGCTAGTTTCTTGCCTGGAGGATTTAGCATAATACCATTTAAGAGTTTATTCAAGAAAGTAAAAATGCTGGCTCTCTAAGCTTTAAAATGTTTTTCAAAATGCACAGGTCTTTTGGTGGGGCTTATTAATAATCCTCATTGTTAAATCAATCATTTCCAGAAAAGATAGCCTATGAAACTATACATTTACATATGTTGTCCTTTATACAGAAGAAAAATAAATAATGATATAGTATTACAATATAGCGATATATTAATTGAAGTGTTCTTTTCTCTCCAACACTAATCCCTTTATCTATCACCTCTCATTTTTTTCAGGAGTCATGAAGCCAGTGGGAGTTATCAGAAAGGGATCTGAGAATGTTTGTGAGAAGTACTTTACTGAGTTAAAATGTTACGGATCTAGATTTAAGTCTGATATATTTAAGAAATAAACCAAATAGTGACAAAATCTTAGGATGATTACTGCTCTCTTTTTTTTATTATATTAAAACCCATTTATGCCTCATGATTTATTATTGGGAGGCTAAGCTTGTGGGGGTTACTTATATTCTCCTGCTCAAGATCATCACAAAGGTCTGATTTTTCACGAAAAGAAAATTGCAGCCTCAGGCATAAATGGGTTAAGATCCACCAAACTGAGAAAGAGAGAGATTGGGAATAGAGGAAACAGGAGCATTAAATACTACAGGGGACACTGCACCTTCCTCCAACTTCCTAGAACTAAGTTTTGATAAAAAGGACTTTGACTTTTAAGGAATGACAGTGGACAGTTCCCATGCTTTAAACACTGGATGAAGTACAAGACGCCAGAAAGTTTAAAAGACTCGGCATCATTATGCGGTGGTTGCAGAATAGAGCAGTTGTGTTATATGCCTAAACCCAAGAGCACTGCAGACATTTTCCTAACTCTCTCATGGAATTTTTGCTAGATGGTATGGCATCAGAATGCACAGGCCAGCAAAAAAAGCCTATGGCTAAGATGAGGGGGTGTCAAATTAGACATCCTTTTTTTGTCCAATACAGCCAGGAGGTGAGTAAAAATGGAGCAGACTTTCAGAAAGTCATACCAAGGAACAGATTCAATAAACAAGTTAGTGCCCACATATTAACCAATAGTCATTCACTGCATCACCTTGCATCATTGTGCAGAGAACGAGACAGGTTGACTTAAATGTGGAGTGAAAGGAAGCCTCCAGCATGGGATACATCATCTCCCTCTTGAAAATATGATACTTGAAATTGGGTTCTAAAGATATCCAAGAGCTTTGTGGAACGTCAAAGATAATTCAACTTTATTAGTACTGGAATGCCCTAGTTGGCTTAAGGAGCTCCTTGATGCTTTTGTCTGCCTAGATATGGAATGAATTTGTTACATCTCCATTTGAACTTATTATCTTGCAACATGCATTTTTACTGTTCTGCCTTATCTATATGTCTGCTATCTTCTCATTCATTTATTTATTGTTTCTTCCCTTGGATATGTTTGTACATTCTGGAGCAGGGAAACAGGATAAGAAATTGTGGTGTGTAGAAAAAAGTCATTAAAACACCATTTAGGGAAACTTTACTGAAAAATATCAACCATAATCCTGACAGGCTAGCACAAATGACATAAGATTGTTATTTTTAATAATTATATTTACAATCCCACCATGTAATTATCCACTGAAATATCCACAATAAGCCTTGGAGAGTGAAAGTTTTCTATTTCAACCATGAATCCTAGTGGTTATGTCTTTAACAGTAAATTTTGTATTCTTCTTTGTTAAATATTAATGTTCTTTGAAATATATAAATATTTTAAGCTGCTAAGAGAAAAATAATCAAAGAAAATATTTTTACCTTTAATGAACTGCTTATAGATTTCTTTTTTTTTCTTTTTCTTTCTTTATATATTTTTTGAGATGGAGTATCCCTCTGTCTCCCAGTGGCGCAATCTCGGCTCACTGCAATCACTGACTCCTGGATTCAAGCAATTCTCTGCCTCAGACTCCTGAGTAGCTGGGATTACAGGTATGCCCCACCATGCCTGGCTAACTTTTGTATTTTTAGTAGAGATGGGGTTTCACCATGTTCACCAGTGGTCTCGAACTCCTGGCCTCAAGTGATCCGCCCGCCTAGGCCTCCCAAAGTGCTGGGATTACAAGAGTGGGCCACCGCATGCAGCCGAACTGCTCATAGTTTTATTGCATCTTTCAGTTTTCAAAAGTGAGATTAAAGAAGAGTTATTTCAGAAATTTAATTTCTCATTGCTGTGATAAATGTAGCATTACATTAGACAGATTGGGATAATGAGTTACAGAAGAAACAAAAACCCACCACCTTGAGGTCCACACCATGTAGCAATGCCACAAACAACAAAAACTCAATCTTTGCTTGAAATCACCTCAAGAGGAGTATTTGGGTTTATATTCCCTAACAAGGTTATTGCTTGAGGAACACAAAGATATAATTTATAAACCAATTATTCGATAGAACATTTTCCATACATTCTCTAGATTGGGAATCAGAGGTGAGGAAAAAAACGGTGTTTCCCCCCTGCACCCCCCACCCCATGGCTATTTCATCCAGTGGAGAAACCATACTAACATGGTCATGCTAATATAACATACAACAAGGGAGTGCTTCAGATCACTGAAAACCTTCTACCATGAAGTCCACGTGGCTCCAACTTACTTGTTCTCTGGTTCAAGCTACTGCTGAACTTGCTTCACCTTCCAACACCAATTAAATGCAAGATAATAGATCATCTGGTCTTAAACAAAAGCATTTGGGTCTTTTTTATAAGACAGAGCTGTGCCCTGGATAGTGTTAGGCTCAAAGACAGGCACGTCCTTATCTAATGATTAATGGGACTTAAATTACATTACTGGTTTCCTTGTTAATTTCTGATATGGGCACCATTGGTATAATTGGTATATTATGAACTCTCATTTCAGTACTAATTTCTACTTTCTGATGGCTTTTCTTCATTTCTCCTGTGAAATGTTTTTCACTATAAAATTTGGAACCATATTTCATGATTGATAACTTACCGCATATCATCAAGTACTTCTTCAAATGTTTCCTCTTTTTCTCAGTCTTAAGTATTTCCCACAAGGATATTTCCTTCCCCTGTACCATATTGAAAATAGAACGCTACTTTATTTATAATTCAATTATCTCGGAATCAGAAGATATAAACGATTAATGCTATTGAACACTTTTTCACGTACTCATCAGTCTTTTGTACAAATACATTGATTTTTAAGTTGGTGTCTTAAAATCTAAAGTTCTTCCACAAAAACAATGTATCATTTTCTTCCTTGTATTTCTCATGGTAGTCTGTGAAATGCTTTTCTGAAGTAAATATAAAATATATTACTGAGCCCTCTTACATCCTGAAAGTTTCTTAAATCTGTCCACATCCCTCCATCTGTGTTCCACTAGCTTTGCCAACACCACCTTCATATTTGGTCTTGTCTATAACAATAGCCTGTTAATTGCTTCCCTCTGTTAAATGTAGCTCTCTTATAAACCATTCCTTAAACTGTAACCAGCTGAATCTTTTCAATATTTTACTGTAATTATGCCACTTTTTTAAAAGAACTTCCTCTTCCTTATAGAAGAAAACACTTCACATAAGCCTCCAGGCCTCCTGTTCTATAAAATGTCTTGTCTCCAGCTTCATACTGAAGCTGTCCAACTTCTCTATACATAGAAAAGTCATTACCTATCCTGACTTCCTGTTTCTTCCTGTTACTTACTACAGTCTCTCCTTTTATATACTCATTCTGGAATTATTTTTCTCTACATCCTTTTTCTTAACAAGTAGTAAACTATAAACTCTTCTTTTATACTTAAATTTAATCACCATTTCTCAAGAAGAAAATTTTCTAAAATCTCCATCAGGTTCCTCATTGACACATTTTCAAAGTGCATATCCTATATGCATGTAGTGTAATTCTTCAATTTATCTACCCCAATTAGAATATAAATCCAATGAGGGCAGGGATTTCATTACCTTTTCTTGCATTCCATTATACTGTAGCACATGGCACAGAATTCTGCAAATAAAACTATTCAATATCTATATTTAAGAAAATTAGTGAAGGAAAGAATAAATCTGATACACATGAATAATAATTACTTTTTTCAGTAGTAACATTGGATTTTTTTTTCTGAGCAGTTGACCTCTTCATTATATTTAAATATGTATTAAATCAATGAATGTTCAAAAATGTATGAAAATAAATCACTTATTTATCATAGTTGTGTCCATTTAGAAGTTAGTACTTTCAAAGACTAGCAACAATAAGATTTCTATAACAGTAGATTAATAAAATATCTACTGTTATAGAAATAGAGTTCATTTCATAGAACTTGATTAATAGAGTCCATTCTTCTAATGAGATAAGGTGAGAGTAATTTGAAAAATACTGTGAAACTAATAATAATTATATGCATTTGTGATCATTTTTAATGGAAAAATAAGCAATCAAACTATTAACTGCATTAAAAAGTTTGGAGCCTTGCTAATTATTATTTCTCAGATGTAAAATTTTGTATTTCTCATTTAAATAACATCCATTTTGTTTATTTGATTGTAATTCATGTCGTATCTAAGTAAAATTTTAAAAACACTGAATTGTCTTATACACCAAATATTTTCTTTCAGGCTCTACTAGAAGTCTAACAAAAATATATCAAGAAAACATTCTTACAAAGCTGGTACATTCAGAAAAAATATAGTCTAAAATAAATTTATTTAATTTGCTCACTGAAGAAGGGAACTCATGTACTTTGCAATTACAGAGATATACTTAATAGTTGGGAAATCTTTATTCAGCAATGGTAACTCTCTAAGCATAGTTTACTCATTCATTAAATACACACACACACATATACACACACACACACACATATACACACAAACACACACACACACGCAAGATGCCTAACTCACAGTGTTATTGTAAATGTTAAAGGAAATGACTGCGTGAAGTTTCTATAATACTATGCGGCATTTGAGCAAAAAATAAAAATAAAACTTTTTCCCCAAACTCCTACTTATTTTATACCATATTTTATAACACTGTATTTTGTTTGTTTGACATTTGATCCTATACTACTTGGATGATCTAATTATGGGAATAGCTGGGAATGGAGTAGACTGTCTCTGAACTGGCAAGAAGTAAAATGCAAAATGTTTTTGAAGAATTATTCTTGCATCTGTTCTTAAATTGTGTTCCACTTTTGACATTAAGTTCAGAGCTAGAAAAAAGACAACAAACAATTCAATCTGTCAGTAAGGTACTTTTTATTTGCCTGGAGCGTCTGAGTAATATAGCACTCAAAATGCAAGCTAAGAAAGAAGTGCTGAGGAAAGTGCTTCTGAAACAAGACAATTCTAACAATAGCTATTTAGAACTTTAAAAATTTATCTGAAAAACCTAATGAAGAGAAATAAGGTAATACCTTGATTCCAAGATCCCCTGACTGGGTGGTGGCAGATTTTGTTCTTGTATAGAAATATATGTTCTCTCAAGGAAAAAGAAGAAGAAACAATAAAACTATAAGTAGAAGACATGTTACAGAGTGTTGAATGTCCTGGGCCCCAAACTAATAGATGAATATGCTATGAATGTGTGACTTTAGAGTTTTCAATTTTAACAAAAATGAAAAACAGAAGGCTTTGTTCATTAGTGTTGGTTCTATTGTCTACTAGTTACTTTTTCTTTCTTTTTGAGAAACATCCTCTTTTATGATGCACCTCAAAGTTAAAATCTTGACATTAACATCATTTTAAATAAATCAGCAAAATTAAAATCACTTCTTCTGAGTAAATATATCTTCACAATAATCAGTTGATTCGTCAAATTTCACAGAAAATCCATTCTGGAGCAGTCTCTCACAAAGATGATTCAAAATTGGGAAACCTTTTTACTGTGGTCATTTGGATGTCTATTTTGAAATCAAAATCTGTGCCTTAAACTCATATCCCGAAGCATGAATGAATTTCATTCTGTCAACTTTATGTTTTCAAAGTCAACCATTTTTCTATCATCTGAATAACTTTTTAAATTAAGATTTTACCTCACTTTCAGCTTTATTTCAAAAATTATTTTCATTTAGCTTTAATATAGTAGAAGATATGCTATAGGTGCTGAAAACATGCAAGTTAACTGAAAGCCTTGGGTCCTGCTCTTACACATTGTAAATAAATATTGGTTACAGTTATATTTGTTGTGAAAAAAGAACTTGCAAAACAATTTTTGAATTATCAGACCTATATTCTAAAATTAGGTGCAATATCCTTCCACACTGGAATTTCCTAAAAAAATATGGGAAGGGAAAAATCTATTTGTGATTATTAAATTACTAGCCCTCCTGAAATGAAGCACAGGGAATATGAGGAAAAATTTGAAGGAGGATTTTTATGGTATAAGCTGTGTTGTATGTCCTCCAACCCCTACCCTGAAGGAAGGGTTCTAGGACTATATACTAGCTCCTAATTCCAAACCGAGAAAAAGAAGGTTGGATGAAACATTTTTCCCAGCCAAAAGAACAATATGTGGATTACATGCAAAAGAGGGCTGCCCTGGAATCATCTTAGCTTATGTTCAAGAGGGCACCCTGGAGGAATAGAGCTCAGAAGAATGAATATAAGGTATCACAACACGTCTACAGGAGAACAAAGGAGTTCTCATCTTGGGAACTATTGATGAAAGATTCAAAGAGAGGCAAATCTCGAAATAACCCACAAATGTGTTCATGGCAAAAACAACTTTCAGTATCTGCCAATTCCAGTTAGTATCGTAGTTCTACTGAAATCAAAAAATTGATGTCTCTGTTTGCAGTTCTTCTCCCCCATCTGAGAATGGTCAGAATTATGGTTAACAAAAAGGAGGAAGAAAAAGCTTGCAGTGAAAGAAACACAGGAAAAATTGACTGTACCTCTCTCTGCAACTGTTGATTTCTCCCTGGAATAAGAGTTAGCTGTGGGAAGAGAGAAACTTCACATTAATAGAAGCTTTGAATATTTAAATTACATAATTAAAACTGAATTTTGCTAATTTAAAGTAGCCATATGGCCTATTATTACCTAAGAATAATACCTAGGAAATTATGACAGTTGTTCTAGATTTCCTCTAAAGTCATGGTAAAGAATTTTTTTAATTTATTTTTTTCTTTAGAGAATGAAAATAGATTTATGACTGAATAAGAATTAAATCAGAATGGGATGCACATCACATGCAATTTGCTGAGACTGCAAAGATAGAAAGAAATCTCACCCTTTTATATAGCCAAACAGATATAACCCATTATACACAAGTTCTCGAGATATACCATAACTAGTCTTCAAGTAACAGGGCTTGGCAGAACCATTTATTACACATAATGCATCTTAAATTTACCTGGAAATTGAGGATGATAATCTGTATTAGCTGAAGGGTTTTATACAAAGGAAAAATAAACTTCTCCTGTCTTTATGACATAGGTAATTTTATAACTGGAAGCAAGTCATCCATCAAAGATGGGCTTCTACACTCACACAGAAACTGGGATGTAGGGGCACTATCTTACTTGATGTTTGTTAACATTTCAAAGAAATGGCTCCTAGGTCCTTCAGAAAGACATTTCTGGGTCTTAAAACTGGCATGGGCCAGGCACAGTGGCTCATGGCTGCAATCCCAGCACATCGTGAAGCTGAGATACAAGGATCAACCATAGACAGGAGTTTTGAGACCAACCTGGGCAAAACAGCAAAACTCTGTCTTTACACACACACACGCACACACACACACACAATTAGTCAGGCATGGTGGCTCACACCTGTAGTCCCAGCTACTAAGGACGCTGAGGTGGGAGGATCACTTGAACCGAGGAGTTTGAGGTTGCAGTGAACCATGATTATCCCACCATACTCCAGCCTAGGCAATAGAGTGAGACTTTGTCTCTCTAAATGATAATACAAACAATAATAATAATAAAGCTGGCAAGGTACAGATAGGCAAACTTTCCATATTCCATGTTCTCACTCATTTGTGGCATCTCAAACAGTTGAACTCATGGAGAGAGACAGTAGAATGACGGTTATCAGAGGCTGGGAAGGATAGCTAGGGAGCAGCGGATGGAGATTGTTAATGGGTATAAGATCTAGTATCTGATAGTGCAAAAGGGTGACTACAGTCAGTAATAGTTTTTTGTACACTTTAAAAATAACTAAAAGAGTGTAGTTGTAATGTTTGTAACACAAAAAAATGATATATATGCTTGGAGAGACGGATATCCCATTTACCCTTATGTGGTTCTCACACATTATATGTCTGTATCAGAATATCTAATGTAGCCCCTAAATATCTATACCTATTGTGTACCCATGCAAATGGAAAATAAAAAACTTTAAAATAAAATAAAGCTTGCAAGGGCCTTATTAAGATTCTTAAAATATTATACATACTACAAAGAGACAGATAAAGAACTTACAAGTTTTCTAAAGTAAACACTCTAAGAAAAGGTTGAGGGAGACGTCTCTTCTTTTATTTTTTAAAAAATTCAACTTTTATTTTAGATTCAAGGGGTACATTTAGATCAAGGGGTGCATTGATTTTATTTTAGAATAAAGGGGTATTTAGATTCAAGGGGTACCCAGGTTTGTTTCCTGGGTAGAGTGTGTGATGCTGAGGCTTGGGATAGGGTTGATCCTGTCACCCAGGAACTGAGCACAGTACCCAGTAGTTACATTTGAACCCTTGACACCCTTCCTCCCCTAACCTAGTAGTCCCCAGTTTGTATTGTTACCATCTTTATGTCCATGAGTACCAAACACAGGGTAAAGAAATTGCTCTACAGAACTGATTTAAAGTGACAGTGAATATAAAAATATATGTATGTTATTAAAATTTTCAGGATTTTATTTACATGACATAATGCTTACTTAGCAAAGAGAAAATCACCTTGAACAACTCAATAAAAATGAAATTCTGCTATAAAGTAAAGCAGACCTCACAGAACCCCAAAGCAATGGGAGCTGAGCCAGAGAGAGGAGAATCAAATGACAAAACATCATGAAAGCCTTCCCCTGACCCCACATCGTTTCTCTTTGCACGTTGACTCTCTCCAGATTTTGTATCCCTCCCTTCTTGGTTCATTAGTTAGAGAAAAAATGCCTCCAAGCCTTTCACAGATCAAACTTCCTTAGGAAAGCATATAGAACTGTCTTGCCACCAAACGATATTTTCAGAGAGGTGTTTTCAATCATGGTCAGGAGACTTGTCCTATTGCATAAACACAGCTGCCAATGAAGCCACCACTGTAACCATGGGGATAACAGAAGAGGGACTATATAAAGTACGTGGTCACTACAAAAGAAGATGAAATGCTGTGTACTAAGTGTTATCATAAATGCAATAAATGATACCATGTAAACAGAGATACAGCATTCTAATAAGACTTTGATAGAAGTGGTGAGAAGGAAAATAAAAATTGTTCCAAAGAAGTGATTTTACTATTTGTAACAGGGCAAAGAGTTTTGCCATAGTGTTATTTGCCAATGAAAATTATCTGGACATAAAAGGTGATGAAGCAGGCAACTTGCGGCTCAGCTTTTATTGATTAACCACATCAGTACTTCAGGCTATTATGTTTTAGGGGTACTGCAAATAAATTGTGTTTGTCTCTTTAGAATTTTAATACAATCTGGGAATCTTTGTTTTTTAGCAGAGAAGCTAAAACGTTTATATTCATTGTCATAGATGATATTTTGGCTTTACATCTGTCATATTGCTTTTTATTATTTATTGCTTTATTTTCTTTGTTTTTGCAATGTGTATTTCCTGATTTATATGTTTGTACAGTGTAAGCTTGGCAAACCAGATTAGTTTCTAGGCATAAATATAGTATCACAAACTTTGTCTTTCAAAACTCAAAGACATTTTTCTCTGTTGAGTTCTGGCAATTAGAATTAAGTTGGAGAAATCGGAGAATGGCAACTTTTTATTTCTTCCTAGATCACCTCCTCTTCTGGTCTACATTGCATAAGCATTATTTTATTCCGTATCCTTAAATTTTTTTAAAAATTCCTCAGAAATGAATCTAATTTCATTAATTTTGCCTATGATATGGTAAGCTTATTGAATTGTTTTTAATGTTTTTATTTAAACTTAGTAGAAGTCTCTTCAAAGCAAGTATTATTATTGCTTCTGTTCTAAATGTTCTTCTTTCTTCCTCGGGAATATGTAACTTTCTTTGGATAGACATCTATCATCATTTTTCCTGTTTCTTATCTTCCTAATATATTTTGAAAATTATTTCTTTGCATCGTGGTATATCATTCCTCCACAACACTGTTTTGACTGCAAGGCAAATTCTACTCTGCTGTCTACAGTGTGTCCCATTACAAATGAACTGGGACAAACTAGAAGAACTGCTCTTTCATTTCAGTCAACATCTTTTAAGATTATTTGTCACTGCCTACAGCTTATTTTGTAATTCGCAGGATCACATTCACCTCAGCCTTAACTGATTGAACCAGAGAGACCATGGGACACAAGAGAGATAAAATCACAGGCTTAAGGGAGCTCATCTAATTAGCAACTAAGAATTTGATCGCTGGAGCTAGAGACTGAGTGACTGAATCATATTTATGGAACAAACCTAATAACAAGGTCTCAAACTCCTACTGCTGAGGTTTTTTTTCCCCTTTCCTGGGAATAATTTTGTTTCTTTGCTTTTCTATAGCTTCTCCTTAGACACTTCAATTTCTGCATTCTACTGTAAGTCCAAACCTCTTTCTTTTAGCTAGTTTCTGTATTTAATATCTGTGATCTTTTTTTATAAAATAGCAAAGATGTTCTTCCTTATGGCTTTGTGCTACTATTAATTGATCCTTCTTGAATCTTATTAAAATACCAAATAGATTTCTAAAATATTACTATAATAAATCATTTTTAAAAGGTACATTTTTCCTTTCACTTTCAAGATAGGGTTCCTCTTTATCAGATTGTAGTATATTTCCATGGGTCCAACTTTATTTTCTTACTCATTATTCATCCTCGAAAACACACATATATACCTAAAATTAAACTCTGCAAACTACTCTGCATGTGTGGGGTGTACAATATTCTCTTCTCTGTACCTTTGTGTTCCAATCAAATTCTTTTTTGTATGGAAAGAGAGTTAATGAAAAACACCAAGAGCAACAATAATAGTGTTCAGGTTTCACTCTCCTGTGATTCTTCCTCTTTGTACCCAGACATGAGTTAACTTGATGGAATTACATACCAGCATCCAAATATAATTCTTGCAAAGCCATCCTTCCTCCAATCCAGTGTATCCCTACAGCTGGCTAATACTGCGCTGTTTATTCTCCCAAGTTTAGGCCACTGGAGAGAAGAATGAATGAAAAGTCTTCCTAACATTAGACCAACAGGCATCTTGCCATTGACTAGGATTTTTCATTCAATTACACAGGGTTTGCGGAAATGACAAATTTCTTCTTAAATTGGGCTGGACATCAGTCTTTGTTTTCCACCATGTTTGTGTGTCATTGTTTTCTGTTTCCTCATGGAATTTTATGAGGAGTTAGAAAGACTGCATCAGTACTGATATTCAGATACTCTGCATTGGTATTTCAATGTTAAATTTGTACACCGGAATTTGAGTTATTTCTTTTCATTGTTTCATTACATTAATATATTATTTAGTTTGCAACAACTGGTCTCCAAATGTGTTTATTTTCTCACTTAAATATAAGTGATGAAATAGACTATATATTCAATAGAATAATGATACTATCATCAATAACATTATGGAATGATCAACAATGCCATAAAAAGTTTATTTATAGAAAGTAGTGATCAATATGAATTAGATATTAACTGAGTTGAGAAATTTCCAAATCAAACCTCAATTAAAACAATTTGAATTTAGGTTCACAATCTCTTGACACACATTCCATTTAAACATTAATTCTATTGTTACAGGAAAAGGGGCCCTGATCCAGACCGCCAAAAAGGGTTCTTGGATCTTGCACAAGAAGTAATTCAGGGCAAGTCCATTGAGTAAAGTGAAAGCAAGTTTATTAAAAAAGTAAAGGAATAAAAGAATGGCTACTTCACAGACAGAGCAGCCCCGAGGGCTGATGGTTGCCTATTTTTATGGCTATTTCTTGATGATATGCTAAACAAGGGGTGGATTATTTATGCCTCCCCTTTTTAGACCACATAGGGTAACTTCCTGACATTGCCATGGCATTTGTAAACTGTCATGGTGATATGGAAGTGAAGTGCTGGAAAGGGTTTGGTCCCTTTAAATGATATAGAAGGGGGTAAGGGAAGTGCTGGGTAGAAGAGGCTGTCGTACCTGGCTAGGGCTCCACCCCCAGGCCTGTGCCCTTGGACCTAGCTGAGGACAGGCATTTTTGTTTTCCTGCCCAAATGTCGTATTTCCCAAGAGCCCCCTGGCCTGCCGTGCCCCGATCCTGTGCCTATAAAAACCTCTGAGACCCTAACAGGCAGACACACAGGCAGCTGAACTTTGAGAGGAGCTCATCAGCAGAGGAATACACAGGCAGCTGGATGTCAAGCAGAGTGGACCAACAGGCACTGGCACACAGGCAGAACGACGTAGAGAGTGGCTGGGGCAGTCGGAGGAGAGCCTGGGCTGCTGAGCGGCCTGACTCTAGGGAAAAACCTTCCCAGTTCATCGCTTTTCTGGCTCCCCTCATCTGCTGAGAGCTACCTCCACTCAATAAAACCTTGCACTCGTTCTCCAAGCCCAGGCGTTATCCCATTCTTCTGGTACACCAAGGCAAGAACCCAGGATACAGAAAGCCTTCCTGTCTTTGTGACAAGGTAGAGGGTTTAATTCAGCTGGTTAACACAAGCCACCTATGGACGGCTAAACTAAAAGAGCACCCAGTAACACATGTCCACTGGGACTTCAGCTGTAAACATTCACCCCTAGACACTGCCATGGGGCTGGAGCCCCACAGCCTGCTTGTCTGTATGCTCCCCGAGAGGTTTGAGCAGCAGGGCACTGAAGAAGTGAGTCACACCCCCATCACACTCCCTGCAAAGGAGACAAGGGAACTTTTCCTGTTTCAACTGGGGCTCATCTAGGATCTTGGAAGGTGAATGTGAGTGAATGCAGAATTGTTGGGTGCCCCTTTCTTCCAATACCATGCCACCATTCTCTCTTTCTGTGGCTAAGAGGCTCTGTTTTCCTTTCATCTCTTTTCTCTCTCTCTCATGGTTTGAAATGGTCTTATCCCTTCCTTTATAACGTTAATAGTTTTCTATAGGCTGTGGCAATGTTACTATGTAAAATGAGCATTTGGCTCAGCCACCAAAGGTGGAAATCAGATCAGTTTTTCCTAGAGGTGCCATGTATGCCTCCACCTTGACAGCAGCAGGCACGCGTGGCTCAGGGCACCTCTCCTTACCCTTTTCCCTCCCAGCTTGGGCGCCTGGGCAAGCCCGCAGCAGGCAAAGGCCGAGCCCAACAGCCACGAGGTGGGTAGGAGAAAGCCGGAGCAGTAGCCAGGACCCTACAGGGTGCTTCTTGCCCCACACACCAATGGAAATTTTCCTCTCCTGTCCAAGGAATTCAACCTGGTCTGAACTGGGGGAAGGATGCAAAAGTTATAGGTAGTAGAGGGACCCACTTGCATTAAGCAAGGGGTTCTTTCCCCACCATCCCCCCACCTTTTTTGCCCCTTTAACTGTATTTTTTTTTTCCTTTTCTAAGTGAGAGACCCTCTCCCCTCCCACTCTGTTTCTAATAGGGATGTTAACAGAGAAGCGACCCCTGCTGGCTGATAATTGCAAATTTGGCAGGGCTTGTTTGAGACACTAAATGGATACAAACAGCCTCTGAAGTGCCTTTTCAGTCTCAAACTCAATTCTAAGGTTCAGGCTGAGGCTCTAGAAAAACAAAACAAAACAAGCAAACAAAACAAAAACAAAAAAAAAACAAAACAAAACAAAAAAAACGAGGTCTCAGGAATCCAAAGCCAGGCAACAGGTATAATGTAAATGGGCCGTACTAATTCCTGCCTACTAAACCCCCCACCCCACAGAAGGAGGCTATGCTTCATGGCATAAACAGGCTCAGGGATCCCAAAGTTTGCTGACAGCAGGGAGAAATGGAGGCATAGGTGAGGGAAGTTAATTCCTATTCTCCAGGTTTTCCCTGCTTCATGGGTACATACCACATTGGTACCTACGGCCAGAAACTGCCAAGGTCGCCGGGGCTCTGGGACAAGAGGTGGAAAGTGAAGGGCAGACACTTACTTTCTCTCTCCATCACACCGTGAGTTTTTTGCTGAAAGAAGGAAGGGAAATGAGAGATGCCTCTATTTCCGGTCTTTCAGAGTTTGCAACCAGTTCTCTTCACCACCCCCAGCTTATACTCCTCTGGAGTATATCCTGAACTTTTGACCCTCAAAATCTGGAGGAAAAGTGCCTCATAGCCCTCTGCACAAAGGTTTGGCCAAATTATGATTTACAGGAAGGACTGGCTTGGCCTCAGGAAGGGATCATTCATTTCAATATCATCTGACAATTGGAAAATTTTTGTAGATGTGAGGACAGATGGTCTGAGGCCCCATATTTATAGGCTTTCTATACCTTGCAAGGCAATCCAGAGCTTTGCCGACAATGTAGGATTGATCCAGCTCTCCTGTTTGCCATCTCAGGGAGGGGACAATAGGCAGGCCCAGGGAATTAAAGATATGAGTCCCAGAAGCACTCCCAGCAGTTGAGCCCGTTCCCTCAAACCCTGTTCCTCCAGGTCCACCCCCACCTCCCTATCCTGCTTCAGTCTCTCACTTGCCCCCTCCTAGAAATCCTCACTGTAAACAAGCTCCAGTCTCACTCTTACCCCTCCAACGGATGCCCAGTGAATTTGGGCCCAGTAAGGTCAGAGGTCCCCTTCTCCCTATGGGTCTTAAAGCAAATTAAGGGGGATCTTGGCAAGTTTTCAGATGACCCTGATAGATATATAGAGGTTTTCCAGAACTTCACACAAATTTTTGAACTCTCCTGGAGAAATGTTATGTTAATTTTAGATGAGACCCTGATGGACACTGAGAAACAGGCCATTCTGCAAGCAGCAGAGACATTTGGGGATGAGCTTTGCATCACAGGTAGCATCAGGGAAGGGGGCGAATATTTTCCAACTGGAAGAGAAGCAATACCGGTGAATGACCCTAAATGGGATCCCAGTGATGAGATGGAAGATTGGAAAAAGAGACATTTTGGGGTGTGCATAATGGAAGGCTTATGTAGAACTAAGACCAAGCCTCTGAATTATATTAAGTTGTTCATGCTCAACCAGGGATTTGGTGAAAATCCCACTGCCTTCCTCGAAAGGCTAAGAGAGACCTTGGTAAAGCACACTTCTCTATCTCCTGATTCAGTCAAGAAACAGCTAATCCTAAAGGATAAATTTATTACTCAGGCAGCTCCTCATATCAGGTGGAGGTTGCAGAAATGGGCCCTGGGACCACATAGTACATTAGAGGACCTCCTGAAAGTGGCTACCTCGGTCTTTTATAATAAAGACAGGGAGGTCTAAGAAAGAGGAAGTACAGGAAAGAGGCAAAAGCTTTAATTGTCACTATGCAAGCCTGCAAACCCCAGAGTTCCCAGAGTGCACAAAGATATGGCAAGAACAGTTATCACTCTTCTAAAAGTTGATCTGCTCCCATACAAGGTTTAATTTATTTCACTAGGATGAAACAGCTCAGGGTACAATGTTGTCGTCAGTATATTTTACTTCCGGTCTCTGAAATCTTTGACACTGAATTCTTTCCTTGTATAATACACAGGTTTAACCCATGCATACTTAACCTTAAAAACCTCGTTTTTTTCTCTTGCGCATAGAAGCCATCAAACTCCAAATGGTCAGGCAACCAGAGCCTCAGGCGTTGGCTCCTTTTTGCTAGGAACCCTTAGATAGACCTCTGGGGGAATCTAACTGCTGTTTTCCCAAAAAAAAATGCTCCCTGTCAGCAGGAAGCAGCTAAGACCAGTCATCATCCATATTCTAATGGCAGTTAGATGTACGTCTTCAGAGGGGGGAAATGATACAGAAAGGAAGTGCTGGGAAGGGCATAGTCACTTTAAATGATACGGAAGCAGGAAGGGAAGTGCTGGGTAGAGGAGGCTGTGGTCCCTGGCTAGGGCTCCACCCCCAGGCGTGTGCCCACTGACCTAAGTGAGGACAGGCATTTTTGTTTTCCTGCCCAAATGTTGCATTTCCCAAGGCCACACCCCAATCCTGTGCCTATAAAATACCTCAAGACCATAGCAGGCAGACACAGGCGGCTGAACTTCCAGAGCTCGTCAGCGGAGGAACACACAGACGGCTGGATGTTGAGAGCAGCACACCTACAGGCACCAGCACAGGGCAGGCCACCGACCAGCAAAACACTGTGGAGTCTGGCTGGGGCAGTCGGAGGAAAGCCTGGGCCACTAAGCAGCCTGACTCCTGGGGAAAACCTTCCCACTCCATCCCCCTTTTGGTTTCCCCCAATCTGCTGAGCGCTACCTCCACTCAATAAAACCTTGCACTCATTCTCCAAGCCCAGGTGTTATCCCATTCTTCCAGGACACCAAGGCAAGACCCTGGGATACAGAAAGCCCCCTGTCCTTGTTACAAGGTAGACGGTCTAATTGAGCTGGTTAACATAAACCGCCTATGGTTGGCTAAACTAAAAAGCACCCTGTAACACAGGCCCACTGGGGCTTCAGCTGTAAACATTCACCCCTAGACACTGCCATGGGGTCGGAGCCCCACAGCCTGCCCATCTGTATGCTCCCCTAGAGGTTTGAGCAGCAGGGCACTGAAGAAGTGAGTTATACCCCCATTGCACACCCTGTGAGAAAGACAAGGAAGCTTTTCCGGTTTCAACAGTGCTGGTAGGAGTGTAGCAGTGAGAACAACCAGAGGTCACTCTCGTGGCCATCTTGCTTTTGTTGGGTTTTGGCTGGCTTCTTTACTGCAACCTGTTTTATCAACAAGGTCTTTATGACCTGTATCTTGTGCTGACCTCCTATCTCAGCCTGTGACTTAGAATGCCTTAACCATCTAGGAATGCAGCCTAGTAGGTTTCAGCCTCATTTTACCCAGCTCCTATTCAAGATGGAGTTGTTCTAGTTCACATGCCTCTGACACTATGACTCAAACAAGGCATTATTTCTAAATGCCCGCTTCCTTTGCTCAATACAACAAAAATATTGGATGCAGAGTATGTGCCTTAACACTCTGTTTGGTCCTTGTAATATAATAATACACAACAAATAATTCTGGCTTCTAGAAACTCATAATCCAAAGCACAAGTATTAATTTTAGAAGTTATTGTGTATTAGTCTGTCAGTAGTTTCAAGATTTACAACAGTACGGAGAAAATTCAGGTAAAACTTTATACCAGAAGAGGTGCTAAGTTAATGTTTCTTCTATTAAAGTAGATATATAAGCTTCTGACTTAGTTTTTTAAACATAAATATTGGCATCTTCCTCAATGTGATTTAAAGTTATGCTCAAGGGGAATTTGCCTCATCTCCTATCTTGTACGCCTCATGCTCAGGTAGAGTATTGTGAGTGAGAAATCATTCATTGAGAATGTGAGTTTGTAGAATAAAAACCCATGAGATACTAGTGTGCTTTGCAACATTTGAAAATGAATTCCAAACCTTTTGAATACACAAGATGCAAAATAAACCCTTTAATGATTCATGCTTTACATTTTAAAGAATCTCTCATGGTTTTCAAAGCAATCAGACACATACAGAATCTCAAAAGTAGTTTTGCATTTTTTAGATCATAAAAAGAATGTAGGCAGTTGGAAATGAATAGTACATAAAGCCTGAAAGATGATAATAATGAAAGCTATTAATATGCAGATTCAATTCAAAATGACAATTTATTTTTTAACCAAATGAGAGCCCTTTTGCTTCTCAAATGTTAATTGCTCTTATTTTGGTGCCCAGTTCACTTTATGGAAATATATAAGCTACAGGGAACAGTACTATATCCACAGATAATACTTGGAGATACAAAAGCTTAATATGTTGTACTACCATCAATACAAACTTACATTAATATTATCTATATTATAAAGTAAAAATTAATCATATATATCACAGTTGCCCATTTTTAAGTAAAATTTAACAAATACTTATGTTTTCTAAGAGTAACAGAATAGTATTTAAACATACTAAAAATAAAATCGTATTTCCTGGATCATTTATTTTAACTGGTATATTCTAAGCTGTATTTTAATAAATCTTAAGTTCAGGATATCATTGATTAAGCACCGGAAATATCACAGACTGGATAATTTATAAAGAAAAGAAGTTGATTTGGTTCACAATTCTGGAGCTGAGAAGTCCAAGTACGTGGCACTAGCATCTGGCAAGAGCCTTCATGCTGTGCTATTCCACGGCAAAGGGTGAAAGGACAAAAGAAAGAGAGAGCGAAAGAGCATGAGAGGGCCACACTCACTTTTGTAACAACCCACTGTCTCGACAATAAACCCATTCCCTCAATGACATGATTAATCTATTTAGAAGAGAGGAGTCCTTGTTGCCTAATCACCTGTTTATGTTCCCACTTTTTAAAAGTATCAAAATGAAAAGTAAGTTTTAACATGAATTTTGGAGGGAATATTCAAACCATAGCAAGCATCTTACCAGACTATTGTCTAATCAAATAATAAAGCTAATTTTGTTCTTTTTTATCTCTCCATTTTGTACTCATTGAAGACAGACACGTTTAAAAAATTAGTGAAATGAGAGGAAAATACTATGTGACAGCATCAATTACTGAGAAATCTGGTGTAATTTTCTGGTTCGCAAGGAATAAGAATTCAGAGAATGTTCACTCTATCCAAAATCTTTATATTTGTGGAAATGCTATTCATGAGAACCAAGAGCTACCTGATAAAGGAAATGTAAATCATATGCATTAGTCATTCTCTAGTGAAACCGGACCTGTTAGGCCCTATTATTGCAGATAGTGTTGCTTTTCTTGTCTGCCCCAAACTCTGGGCGCCAAGATTTTGATTTCTTAAATTGATTAGTTCCTCTAGATTTAAATATTTATCTAAGAAGCTGCAGTTAACTCATATTTTTAACATGACAATTAGATTAGTCCTAAAGGAGATAATTTGATTTACATATGTCTATATTTTCATATGTATAAATGTGGAAATGATAGATACGTAAACAGGCATACATTATGCATATAACCAACACACACGGTATAAAGTTTATATATATATATATGCATATATATCTTTTCAATCTGAAAATAATATATAGGCAAAATTACAATGTAGTTGTAAGTTTTAGCGCCAAATGTTTCTCATTCGATTACTGACAAATCTCTCACACAAGAACAGCCAGGATCATATATTCTTTTTGTTATGGGCTGAGTTTTTCTACTGTCTTAAGACTTCTTCTACATCATCTGCTTTTAGATTTCTGTTTACATTGCAAGCTTATTTCCTACTTAAGTCTTCACCAGCCTTCCATGTTCTTTTGGTAAATGTGTGGTTTGTTGAACACCTTTCTCTGTGAATGAGCCAGACACAATGCATGGATGAGCATCTGGCAGTTAGGTTTGTACTACACTCTTCCTAATCTAATTGAATGGGTACTTGACTGAAGTAGGGCTGATCATATCCTCTCTTCTAATAATTTGTAATTAGGACAGAGAAAGGACCAGCCTCTCTGCGTGATGAAATTCTGAAATGATAGACAGCTATTATTTCGTGATAGAGAAAAAGGAAAAGTTGTCTGTGAAAATAGGAAGGTAATAATGAGTCAGATGCCCTGAAGCTCTAGTGGCTCTTGAGATGAGGCTCCCCTTGTCTTGCTCTTGGCTTCATGAATCACTTGTGAATCCTCTTTATAAGTGACTAGATGTATTTTTCTACCTCACCTGAGTGAGGTTTTTACACTTTAAACTTAAAGCATCTTACTGATATAGTCAAAGAACTCTAGTATTGCATTCTCACATTTTCTATTTGAAACTGTTCAAATTGTATCCTTTAAAGTATGCATTTCTAGAGCTTTAGCTATTTCAGCTTCAGAGTGATGCCTCTCTGCAGATTCATGATATTTTAGAAAATAAATTTTTCTGAAAAGGTGTCTGTTAAAATACGCCTGTTTTTATGTATTATTCCTATGGGATGGATTGTGTAGATTTTCTTGACTTTTAGAAATGTCTTCTTGGCTGAGTACTACCTGTAAGAGTGGCATTTCTGTAATAAAAAGACATTTACACTCTGCCTACTTTGTTGCAATCATTAACAAATTTTATTCCTTTAAGCAATTCCTATATATATTAAAAACTATGCATTTATCATCTGTTGAAGTTTAAAAATTTGGTTTTCCAGAATAACATATTGACTCGACATTTACCAACAGAATTTTTTAAACTATATGCGTTTACACTTCCACATTAATATTCTAGTAAGTCCCTCAAAATAACAATATCCTAAAGAGTAGCAGAATATGCCACCCCAAAATATGACACCATAATATAAGAATTTTTTTGAGCTAAAGATACTTGAAAAACACCAGGTACAAGAAAGGGACTCCAACCTCCCCCTTTTCTTCCTGAAAACAGTAAATAAATCCCTCTAAGGAAGATGTCCTTTGTATGCCAGGAGGGAAGTAACATTCTTATCACCAGGGATGGCTAGTTGAGACTGAGATAAGTCTGTACAAACAAACCTTGTTAACTCACTTTTATCTTCTTAGTCACTTCTCCATGATTAATTACCCTGCCCAAGCCCCCTTGCCTTGTCATGTTTTCACAGTGTATAACTGTTTGTCCAATTCAGTATATAAATGTTTGATTCTAACTGCTATTTGGGATCTTCCACTTCAATATGAAGCTTTTGTGTCATGTAAAATTTTTATTAAATAAATGTGTATACTTTTCTCCATACTTTTCTCCTGTTAATCTGCCTTTTGTCAATTTAATTCTTAGACCTAGTCCGAAATTCTAAGAGTGTAGAGGTCAGATTTTGCCTCTCCTAGCCCCATAACCAAAATCCTTATTTTACCACTAAATTGAATTTAACTTAAAATACCCCATCACAATAAATCTCAAGTCTTTTCTTTCCATCATTCAATCCAGAAAACTGGAATTCTTCATTGACTTCTCACTTTTTTATACCATATATATATAATCTGTGATCATATATAGAAAGCTATTTTCAGAATCTGAACTGTTCTTCCTATCTTCACTGCCAGCCCCTGGTCCAAATCACCATCACTTGCAAAGAATTTCTTTTTGAAATAACTTCCTAACTGCATGGTCTTCCTGCTTTTGTTTTTGCACTCCTTTGATCAGTTGTTCCCCAGTAGCCAGAGTGTCCTGATAAAACACGGTCAGAGCATAGTCTTCCCCTGCTTAAAATCCTCTAGGAGCTTCCAATCTCAATCAAAATAAAAACCAAAGATTTAACAATGATCTACAAGGCCCTACATCATCTGTAAAGTTTTTACTACAGTGTGTCTGACACAAAATAAGCATATCATCTATGGCAGTTGATACTACTTTTATCATTATTTTTAGTTCTATCTAAGGAAATATAGACACAAGAAGAAGTACTAGAGTCCTCACTCAAATTCTGTTTTTTACTTCAAAGATAAAAAAGTCTGTTTCTATTTACAAAAAAAAGATAACTGAAATTGACAAAATAAAAATAAACAAATGATGAAATAAACAAAGTGCAAGAAAATTTGGTAAAATATAAATATACATTTTAAAAAGAGTAATGTATTTTGTAAATTTCCCAACAGAAATTGGAAAAGAAAAATCATGTGTAGGAATCACTATAGATCAGGAAAGTTCTATGAATTCGTGAATGTCAGAGAAATTTAAGATGACTCTAAATCGGATCATAAACAAAAACAATTAAAATTTATCAGTAAACAGAGGCTATTGCTTGTAACCAAGTTCTTCCTGCCTGTTGAATTGAGTGTAAACACCAAATTCTTTAGAATCCGAGAAGTTTTAATATTAAAAACAGAAATTTGTAGCAGCTAGTTATTTCACAGGGGAGAAGGTATAAGGGAGGATTCTACTACTTTCTGTAACTGTTTGTTAATTCATAATTATATATTTCTATTATCTTCTTTACATTCATAGTTATTGGTTTGGGGGAATTCCAAAATGTGAGTTGTGGGCAGTCCCAGAATTGATGAATAATACTTGACACATTAGAGTAATTAAGGCCGAGACATTTTGAATTAAGTGTGTATGTGGTGTCCACATTAACTCATTAGATAATTTTTTGATTTAGACATAGAAACCAAGGCTCAGTAATATTGCCACATTTCCATGCCTGTGAATTAGCCTAGATAGGAGTTGAAGTCAGGCCTATCTGAATCCAAAGCTGGTTTTTAACCACTATGTATAAAAACTTCCCTCATAAGATATTGAATTAATCTGTATGAGAACATCAGTTTTCAAAATCTTAGAAGTATTTTTAAATTGAATCACAGACATTGTGACATTCTATATCTAAAAATAAAAACATTTTCATGCATGGACAAAATATCATTAACATATCTAAAATAATTAGAATTTTACAGATCATGTAATATTATCTAAATTTATCTTAGGGTTTGGGGAGATTTGTTTGCTCTATATTTTTTAAGTGGCTGGTGTTTCTTATTGGGTGCCTCCACTTACAGGTTTGTTAGTGTATTCTTTGCATGCCTTCTATGTCACCTTCTAATACTTCTCATTTCTCTATTTCTTTTAAAGTTTCATCTCTTTTCTTACTTTTATCCTCAATGTTTGTTTTTTTCTCCCTTTTGCTACTCTTAGTCTTAATTTCTGAAATGATGTTTAAACTTCAACTTATTTCTCTTATTTTGTCAGTTTGTACAACATATTCTCTCCTCGTCTTTGGCTTTCTGCCTGCCTGTGTGCCAATGTGTATTTCTCTTTTGCTTCTTTTTTTTTTTTTTTTTTTTTTTTTTTTTGGACACAGGGTTTGGCTCTGTCACCCAGGCTGGAGTGCAGAGGCACCATCTCAGCTCACTGCAACCTCCACCTCCCAAGTTGAAGCAATTCTCGTGTCTCATCCTCCCGCCCGAGTACCGAGTACCTGGGATTATAGGAATGTGCCACCAAGCCCAGCTAATTTTTTTTGTAGTTTTAGTAGAGATGGGGTTTCTCTATGTTGGTCATGCTTGTCTCAAACTCCTGACCTCAAGTGATCTGCCCGCTCTGCCTCCCAATGTGCTGGGATTACAGGTGTGAGCCACCGTGCCGGGCCGTATATTTCATTATGATCTTATTTCATTGATACGGCTTAGTCTTTCCTTTTTATTCATATTTAAATGAATGGAATTTTCCCGGTCCAGCTCTAAGTAGAATGATCTGATAGGGAAAGTGAAATGGTGTAACAAGTATTTGCTGGTTTCTCAACTCAAATGCTCTCCCTTCTTTTGCAACAGAGTTGAGTGTCTGTTTACAATACAATGCTGCTTCCTCAGTTCGCTTGGCACTACCCATGCCATCTTTCCTTTACCCCAGGACATGACCCTGGGGTATATCTGGAATATCTATTTCCAGAAATCACAGTAGTTTCCACATAAGGCAAAGCCTCCTACCTTTTGGGGTGAATGTTTTTGGTTGTTTGCTCCTACTGTTGTTTTCCTTGGGTTCAACTATGCCTCTGACCTCTTGGCTTTTCTATTCTTATCTGCACCTGACATAGTCCTATGAACACTGTGTTCTTATTATGTGTATGTTTTATCCTGTACAGGTTGTTTGAGCTTGATAGATTTCTCTGTCCTCAGGTTTTACTTAAAGTGTAAAATATGGCAGATTTTGATCATCCTTCTAATTGCTTTGAATGGTTTTTAAATAAGGACAATTGGGAAGACTTTGTTTTATGTTTTGGCTATGCTTCCATAATTGGTGATTTGTTTTTGTAGGCAGAATGAGCGAAGTGCAAAAAGATGTCCGGAATCCATAAACTGAAAATACAGCAAAGGTCTTTTGGAATTGTATTTCATTTAATTCATGTATTGTTTTATTCCTTAACTTTTTTGACATTTATTTGGGGCTTGTTGTGTGAGATTCCTTTTATTTTCCTGTTATCTTTACTCGTATTAATTCACCTGATCCTCAAAACAGTTAAGGATATCAATACTACTGTTCATTCTTATTTTAGAGATAAGAATACTTGGTCACAACTAGCTCAGTTAGTTGCGCGATATCACCTAACTTGTAAATAGCAAAATCTACACCCAATAAATCTGACTACAGACAAGGCATATCAGTTAGTATATACAGAGTCAAGATAACATGAGAAGAAAAGAATATGGTTTTCTGATGAATAGCATTAATTTTTATATAAACTAGGTAATAAATTTTAAAAGGTATTCATACTTAGCAGGATATTTTAGAGTTTAATGTTTCAAAGACTTGGAAAGATTCTTAAGGACCTTACATAATGTATCCTCTTAGTTCACATATTTTTTTAAGTAACTCATTTTGATAGCATTCTTTAATCATACTAAAAAGTAACACAATTGTGATGAGTTCAGAAAGAAAATTTTCTAATATTGAATTCAACACCCTAGACTTCGGAGTAACAACTCTTTTTTTCTCCCATAATATGGGAAATCATCAATGTCATTTATATACATATTTAATGTAAGGAATAGAAAATGTTGTCTTATATCATTCTAATAGAATGTATACCCTGTGGATTTCAATGTATTGAAGTCTCTGTAGTATCTTTGAGCTATTTAACTCTAATATAGTTTTTATTTTTTATTAACCTGATCTAATTACTCTTCTGTAGCTTTTCTGGAAAACATTCAGATTTGAAATGTATATTTTCATGGCGAGTAAAACTATACTATATAGGCATGTTTTATTTTATTTCCAATTATAAGTAAAATGAAAATTTTATTTTTGCAATTAATATATTCTCATGCAAGTTTAACTCTTTTTATCACATTGGAGATTTAGCACCAATAAAGTAGCTGAGTGAGAAAGTGCTACTAAATATCATTAGTAAATCATCATTAATAAATAGTAATATAATATCATTAGAAAATATTTCAAAATATAGAAAGTAATCTTATGTAATGTTGCATGAAATATATTTCCAGGCCCAGCACGGTGGCTCACGCCTGTAATCCCAGTACTTTGGAAGGTAGAGGGAGGCAGATCACCTGAGGTCAGGAGTTCAAGACCATCCTGGCCAACATGGCAAAACCCCCTCTCTATTAAAAATAGAAAAATTAGCCAGGCATGGTGACAAGCACCTGTAATCCCAGGTACTCAGGAGGCTGAGGCAGGAGAATTGCTTGAACCCAGTAGGCGGAGGTTTCAGTGAGCCAAGATCATGCCACTACACTCCAGCCTGGGTGACAGAGTAAGACTTCACCTCAAAAAAAAAAAAATATATATATATATATATATAAATATTTCCATGAACTTACTATTTTTATTAGTCTGTGATGTTCTACAGCATTATCAGCACAAGAGTTATTTAAGTAAATCTATATATGCTTCTGCCATGGAAATTCTCTCTTATAATGAAAATTTTAATATGATATTCAATAATTCAAAATAACTAGTTAGCATACATTACATTAGAATTAGAAACAAACAGGAATTTAATGATGCTTCAGATATTAAATGATGATATATTTATGCCATTTTACTTATTTAGAAAGGGAGGCAAAGAAAGGTATCCTTGATATTATATCACAATAAAATAATGTTGTTGAATTATATTATTCTGTTTGTAGAAGTCTATTCGTATGGAAAATCAAATATCTTAAAACAGCATTTATAATTGACATTTCTTCCTCTGTCATTTGGTTTAATGATCGCCAGGTATTTGATAATAAGTATAAAATCGAAGCTGATTTCTTTGATTTGCTCTGATGTTTTTAAGGCAGGAAATGCTTTCAAATCACTTTCTGTATGTTATCTGAGTGCAGGTAATGAATTCCTCAACTTGTCAGAATGCTAATTAAATGTGATAATAATTTATGTAACCTGCTGTGAAACTAAAGTGGCTAATGGCAATTACTTGGGTTTTCAACAATGAAGAGTCTGTTTTATGCACCTAATATAAGAAGTACACTATGTTTATTATCATATATTATTGTCATTTTCTTGAAATAATGCAAAGCTAATAGTTGACTTATCATTCCTTAAGAATGTATAGTTCCTTGTAAAATCAACACAATCTATTTCCAAAGAGAAGAAAATAATAATTTAAAAATAACTGGGAAAATATCACAGGATACTCATAACAATTTCTAGATTTTAAAAATTGGTCCATGACATTTTTCAGCTAAGAAAGACTCTGAATTAACAGATAAATTCTTGGCTTGCTATCTCAATGCAGCACAGCTGATGCACGAAGACAATTCCATGCTTTGAGAGAATTAATGGTGGAATGTTACATGACACTCAAATAGCTCCTTCTTTATGAAAAAGGAAACAATCTGGAAAGTAATATACCTAAGAAAGTCTATTGGAACCTTGGAACTTAGATATTTTTATAATCCTATTTCCTTTTTTATGGTGTTATTTTGCTTTAAAAAATCATCTTTATTCAAAAAGTGCAAACATTTTGATTAGTATAAACCAATGGAACTTTTCTCGTTTTCACAAATGTCACTGTTTATTTCAGGATTTAATTTAAAATGCTGTCATCAAACAGAACTCCCATATTATTTAAAAATACTAATTTCATTACCAAACATCAATGGTAATCAATGCTGTTACTCTCAAAGCTCAAAGCAGATGTTGACATAAAAATGCTTTTCATCACTGCCCCTTATTGGAGGTGTGCCACTGTGGCAGGCAGAATTTCTAAAACGGCCCCTCAGTGAGATCTCACCCTAATCCCTGGAATCTGTGAATAGGATAAGATCTCACTCCTTTAGTTACAGTATATTATATTAACAATTGACATTAAGATAGGGAGATTATTTCGGTGGGCATATGAGCCCTTAAAAGCCTGCTTTTCTGTGACTTGTAGTAAAACAGGAAGAGATTTGAAGGACAAGAAGGATTTGATGTGCCCTTGATAGTTTGAACGTGAAGAGAGTCACCTGCCAAGGAAAACAGGTACCCCTGGCCTAACGCCAGAAAGGGAATGAATAGGTATCTCCATCCTAAAAGCACAAACATTTTGAATGAACTCGGCCAACAATGAATGAAGCTGGTAGTTAATTATTTTCTAGTGCCCAACCTGGCAAGCACCTAGATATCAGACTGTGAGAACCTAAACAGATAGCCCAGTTGAGTCAGCCCAGACTTTTGAACTGCAGAAATGTGAGAAAATAAGTGGATGTGGTTTTAAGCTGCTGAGTTTGTGGTTATTCATCATGCAGTAATAGAACACTAATATGGAGATAAGATTTTGAAACCTCACAAGATTAAATGCACATTATAATTACTAAATTTCTATCAATTTATTACAGCAGAAATAGAAAACTAAGAGTGGAATGTAGGCTCTTCTTATGCTGAAGAGTCTTTTTATCTAGCCTTGCTGATAATCTGAGAAAAAAATTATCACTTTTAAAAAATTTTCTCAATATTAGGTACATAGCTTAAGTATTACTGTTACAAATTAAAACATGACTTCTTATTTAGACTAAATGACCTGTGTTGGGTATGAATGCATAAAAATATTGTGTTAGTCATTTCCCTGTTTGCTCTCATCTACTCACTTCCCTTCCCCTACACATCAGAGCACTGACTCTTGTACATTATATTCTCAGGCTTCTTTTCCCACTAATTTTAATTAGGTTCAGTCAATGAGGTGTGCTGATGAGAAACTAGAGATCGAGTTGAGAAAAACAGTGGTAAAACCTTTCAACCCTCCAGTGACAGCTCCAGCACAGGCTCCTGCTTCAGCTTTGCCGTGAAGTTTCTCCTCCCTCCATGTCCCTAGTCCTACGCATAGGCCTGAGGGGTGTCTTTAGCTCCATGTTTAAGCGCCTCCCTAGTGTTCACTGTTCCCAGACTCTGGTAACATTATGTGATAACTGGTAATATTTTCTTCAGTTAAGTGACTTTCTGTAAGTGGCTTCTGGTTGCCTGATATTCTCCTTTGTTCATCTTTCAGTGCCTCTAATACTAGTTCCATGTACTATACTACTTATATTGAATTATTTAATATAGATTCTATTTTCCTGACATTAATATAATTCTTTTTACTAGAAGAGTTTTAAGAAACATGTAAGTTGGGCTTCTGAAATTAGATTACACACTTATTTAAGCTGAAGCACAGTGGGGAGTTTCTTGCCAGTGAGAAAAGGATACCACAAATCCATGACATAAAGTTACATCATTATTACATAAACTATCATCTGTTGGTTGTTTGTTCTGGAGATGAAATTGCTGTTGCTTTTAGTCATTATGGTAGAAATGATGACTACAAAGTTCATAGTATGATACAGCTACTTCTGGCTATACTGAAAAAATAATAAGCTCTCACATAAAAGCTCTCAACTCAAGACACAGAGTACCAGAAAGCTTCTATTGTGGCCCTGAAATAATATCCTATTTCTTATAGCCACAGGGCAGACATGGCTAAGAATTAAACTCTAAATTTAATAATGCCAGTTGGGGAATAGTAACGCAAGTTGAATAAAACATGTTACTGAGTTTCTTAAAATTAAAGTTAAGACATTGAAAAGTGAGTTTCTGAGTTTGGACTGGAGACCTTCAATCGGAGTCAGAAGAATCTGAGAAATTTCAACTCTACCAGCAGTGAAAGAAGCCTGATCTTTCTTTTTCTGAGGAGATACCTCTTCCTGCTTAAACGTCCCATAATAACCTCACTTTGCAATAAGGTATCTATTTTCCACAAGGCCCATGCTCATTACTCCTCTTTGTCCCTAGACCCATAACAAAACCAGATTCCAGTGTGTTCCTGGGGACCAAGGCAAAGTTTGATGCAAAAGGAGATTGACAGATTGACTCAAATTTTTCTATTTGTTTGCATTACCTTAAGATTATGACTTTAATATACAATTTCCAGAAGCTGGAGGTGGCTGTTACACTTTGGTAATTCACTAAACACTATACACAAATGTTGACCACACTCAATGAGATTCAAACGCCAGAACATCCCTGGCAGAAGGAAGAAGAAATCTAGATTTAGGGAGAAGAAAATGTTAGAAAATATTTGTGATGTATATCCACTAGCTTCCCCATAAAGGCTCAAATTACAGTTCCTTTACTGAGGTCCTGTTAACTACCTTAAGGAACTGGGCTTCAGCATCTGTGAAATCTCTGGAGTGCTTTCCCTTAGAAGGCCAAGGTTAGTATTGAAATCTGCCTGCACTGAAATGAGCTCCTCAGTTTCCGTGGGACTGCTGGGTCCTGGAGTGACAAAGTTTAGGAAGTAAAATGTAATTATCTTAATAAAAGTGCCCATCAAATGGGCAGCTGGAGTGGATTGGCAAATAAAATGTTTTGACATTCAGGGATTTTTGATGGCTGCTAATTAATTATTAGATTCCTAGATATAAAAGAATTGTCAGGCTAGTAAAATATTATTGGATCTATATAATTGGAAAAATTCTACGTCTGTTCAGAAGAAACTTGGCTTAAGTCACCACAATGGCAAAGTGCAGACTCTCCGATTTCAAGCGCATTCACAGAGGCATATCTTCTTTACTAAAGGGAAGGTTAGATCTCCTTGAATAAAAGCCCTTAAAAATGCCATAATTATATACTATAAATCACTCAAAGGAACTTGAAACCACTTACCATTGTGGCTGTGCTCTGGGGAAAGGAAAATATGATGATATTCCAAAAATTATTAAATATTGGTAATATTTTGAAGATATTCTCTGGAGACCCGATTTCCCGTTGTAGTCCATAGATAAGGACTGGGGATTGTCAGGTATAAAATAAAGTATTAAATAAAAGCTGTCAGACTATGGAATCAGTGTTACCGTCGTTTCACTTTGAATATATTTCCATCACTTCAAGATGAATAATTGTAATACATATTTGGCAACTGGCAGAATTCCTAAATTTTCTTGCTGACCGTTGCAATAACTGTTATTATGATAAGAATGGATAAATGAGTTCCTTGACATCCATATTATAAAAAGCAGAAATGGTATTCCATTTCTGAGGGAATTGAAGAGATTAATATCACCTACATCTGAAAGATGTAGATGGTGGTGATTTCCATCAGATGACTATTTAACTTGTATATTTCCCTTGTGCAGAAGCCAAAACTTTTGAAAAATCATTGTCCATTTTTGAAAGTGTCATCAGGTGGTATCTCAAACGGCATTTCCCAAACCAGACATTTTGGAGCAAATTTCTGTACACTTGGTTATCTGGTATGCAGTTATTGATCAGGAAACCGTTACACCTGTATACCAATTAATGAAAAAATAATTAGGAGTTTACTTTTGTATTGCAGTGGTAGCAATGCAGTTCACTGTCTTAACTAAGCTCTATATCAACTTTCACTTCTCTTTCATGATACAGTACAAAGATTGAGATAGTCTTGAATTTCACAGAACATCATGCTGGTTTGCCTTGTTTGGGGTGTGTGTGTTCATGCCCCTGTGTGTGTGTGTGTGTGTGTGTCTGTGTGTGTGTGTGTAGTTGCACTTGCATGAGTGTGACCTTCTTACTGGATAATCCAGCACTGGGCAAGACCCTGTGTTACCAGATAACCAGGACTATCAAAATTCCTTCCTTATATGAATGATCCCAAAATTTGCCATATTAAGTTCAAAAAGATAGTCGTTTTCATATAGCCATGGATTTATTGATAATTCTACGGAACAGAGATCCCATATAATATCCCCAGTGCCTTCTGTAAAGACTGTGAGATTCTGCCACTCTGTTATTCTTTATACACTTCTGAAAATTCGACTATGCTATATAGAAGGACCCCTAGATATTTTTCATAATATAAAGGTTTTACACTTTCCTTTGATAGAAAAATCTGCTTATTTCCTCCTAAAACACACTTAGAAGATTCTGTACAAAACACCGTCAAAGCAAAGAGAATGGGCTTTTTTTCTTTTTGCAAAGTAAAATATCTGCTCATTGGAAAGTCTTTCTCTCTCCATTTGACAGAAGATATCAGATGTCAATAATCTCATACCGAGTAACATGTGCTTCATTTATTTGAAGAGGAAGAGAAAAACATCCCTAGATATAGGACACTTTTGATGGTAAGAGCTTCCATGTTTTCAGTTAATTCCTAAAGTTCTTGAAGATATGATAAACACATTAAAATAAGAAGTTAACAAAGAATTATTTAATAGTACTCTCATGCAAACATTTAATGTTTGCAAGGCAAAAAGCTAAGCACTTGTTTCATTTAATATGAGAAATAAATGTGTGAGGTTGATGCTATTAATTTCTACTTTTGTAGGTGAGAGTATAACGGCTTAGAGAAATAAAATAAATTATCTGAGTTTACACAACTAGAAACTGGTAAATCCAGAATTGTCTCTGACGCCTATTTCTAGGTGACAGCATCATTGATTAATTTTTATATGATTCATTTTGTCTCTATGTATTTTGTTTCTAAATTTTCTGCGATAAGAAACTCAATTTTTCTTAAATCTCTTTGATTGTTTTTGTTTATAATGTCAAAAAGCTGATCAAAAAAATTTCAGTAAGGTCTTTATATATGTCTCTGCTTTGTATTAAATTTACAGAGCCATATCATTAACATTGCTGTGTAAAGTAGGTGGTTTGTTGGTGTTACGAGACAATATTTAGTTGAGGAGCCCTGAAAAACTGGCAAGTACATGCCTCATTTAACTGAGCTAGTGACTACTTGACCTAGCTAATCCATGTCATGTTCAAATTCAGTTACTTCTTCCATATATTATGTTTTATTTTGTTGTTGTTATTTAAAAAGTTTCTATTCTGGGTTTTATGTGAAATCTTCCTACTTTAAATATTTTCAACTAATTTAAAACCATTTGATAACTTTGTGCACAGAATGTCTACTGTCCCAATACAGACCAGTTTTAACCTTTTATATGGATAATAACTAAGGTTTTAATTCAATTTTTATTTTTATTTTTCTACTCATATATTCTCTATTCTTGTGTAAATTATGACAGTTATTCAGTTAACCTTAATATTTAAACATTAACTTTTATAATACACTAAACAACTATGTCCCTATGAAATCCTAACCCTACAATATTAAGAGGTAGGCATTTTGGCAGGTAATTAGGTCATGAGGGTGGAGCCCTTATGAATGGTCTGAGTGCCCTTATAAAAGGGACTCTAGACCAATATCTCCCTATTACTCTCTCCCTTCAGTCCCTGGTAATCACCCTTCTACTTTTTTGCTATGAGTTCAGCTATCTTCAATTTGCATATATGTGAGGTCATGTGGTATTTATCTTTCTGTGTCTGGCCTTTCTCACTTAATATAATGTTTATAGGGTTATACATGTCACAAATGTCAAAATGCCTTTCTTTTTTAAGGCTAAATAATATTCCATTGTAGGTATATACCACATTTTCTTTATTCATCTACCAATGGAAATGTAGAGTTTTTCAATATCTTGGCTATTGTAAATTAAGCTGCAATAAAACATGGGAAAATAGTGTAAATATCTCTTCAACATCTGATTTAATTTCCTTTGGATATATAGCCAGAAGTGGAATTGCTGGATCATAAGCTAGTTCTATTTTTAAATTTTTGAGGACCCTCCATATTGTTTTTCATGACTGTATTAATTTATGTTTCTTCCAACAGTGTACAGGTTTCTCATTTCTCCACATCCTCACCAAAACTTGTTATCTTTTATTTTTCTGATAATAGCCATTCTAACAGGTATGAGGTGATATCTCATTGTGCTTTTCATTAGTTTTCCTGGATGATAAGTGAGTTGAGAACTTTTTCAAATGCCTGTTGGCCATTTGTATGTCTCCTTTTAAGAACTGTCTACTCATGTATTTTGTTCATTTTTAATATATAGTGTAAAACAGTGTGAATATAATTAACAATATTTTATTATTAAAATTCACTAAGAGAGTGTATCTTTTTGTTTATTTGTTTATTTGAGGCTAGGCCTTACTTTCCTCGGCCAGGCTGGAGTACAGTGGCACATTTAAGATTCACTGCAGCTTTGATTTCCTGGGCTCAAGTGGTCTTCCCCTCTCAGCCTCCTGAGTAGCTGGGACTACAGGTGCGTGCCACCACTCCTGGCTAATTTTTGTATTGTTTGTAGAGATGGGGTTTTGCCATGTTGCCCAGAGTGGTCTGAAACTCCTGGGCTCAGGCAGTCAACCAGCCTTGGCCTCCCAAAGTGCCGGGATTGCAGGTGTGAGCCACCGTTCTCAACTTAAGAGAGTATATCTTAAGTGTTCTCACCACACCAAAATAAGAAATATATTAAAAAATAATAATAAAGCAGTAACAAGGAAAGTGATACTATCTGAGATGACGGATATGTTAATTAACTTGGTCATGGTTATTATTTTACTATATATATGTATATTCATAAAATTGTAAACCTTAAATATATACAATCTTTAATTGTCAAATATACCTAAATTGAAAAAATAAATACAAGTAATAAATAATTAGGACCCCAGAGAGTGCTATTGCCGTCTTTCTGCCATGAAAGGATACAAGAAACTGGCAGTCTATAACCCAAAAAATGTGACTTCACCAGAAATCAACCACGCTAACACCAGCATCTTTGACGTCCGGCCTCCAGAATTATGAGAAATATATTTCTGATTTTTATAAGCCACCCAGTCTAAGGTATTTTGTTATAGTAGCCAGAACTTCCTAAGACACCCTTGTAAGTAGGGCATTTATAAATGCAAATTAAAACTAATCTCTACTTATCCTTTCTTCTCTCAGTATGAAAGCTCTCTAGAAAAGTAATGGCATTTATTTCACTTTCTTTTATTTTGTAACTCTAAGATCTTAAGTTACCAGGGGCCACTGTTTAAGGTTTAATTAACTCAATATGTATTATAAATTTTAACCTAAAGTTTGTCTTTAAAAATGCTTAATAATTTATCATTAGAAAACAGCATTTCATTTATTTAGTCTTTACATTTTCTCAAGCATTTTAATATATATCATAATGCAATCATAAATGTAAAGTTTCCCTACACTTTAAATGTGAAGATTCATCATCTGTAAACTCCCATTTTTTCTGCCAGAAAAAAGACTGTTTTTTCTCAATTCTGCATTAAAATAAAATTAGAGAAAGCAAAATATTTTATTTACAGGATTTCTTGCTTATATCAAAGCAATTATGTAACTTTATTTCTTGAAGATATATTTCAGTAGAAGTTGCATTTTTCTCTGTAGGTGACCTTGAGTTACCATTTAGTAGAAAGCATTAGAATAATTTTTTTCCCACAGCAAACCCTCCAATGACCAATTTCTTTTCTCTTTTTCTTAAAAGATATCTGCATCAGTATTTGCACCAAGATATTTCAGTGCACTTCTTGAAGTAATAGTCTTTTTTGAAACCTTTCTCCTCCTCATTAAAAAAGGGACATCTTCTCCCTCCTAAATGGAAAGCATTCTCTTGTAATTTCTAGCTCGTAATATTATTTTGGGAAAAAATGTTCTCAGTACTTCCATCTTGACTATTATTGCAGAATGTTTAAATAAGTCTTTCAACTTCACATATGATCTACATTAATTTTGTGCATTTTAATTCCCTTGCACTGTTAATTTTCTGAATTTCTGACTTTATTATCCTTCATGCTTTTTTTTTTTTTTTTTCTTGAGATGGAGTCTCTCCCTGTCATCCAGGCTGGAGTGCAATGGCGCAATCTCAGCTCACTGCAATCTCTGCCTCCTGGGTTCAAACAGTTCTACTGCCTCAGCCTCTCAAGCAGCTAGGATTACAGGTGCCTGCCACCATGCCCAGTTAATTTTTGTATTTTTAGTAGAGAAAGGGTTTCACCATGTTGGCCAGGTTGGTCTTGAACTCCTGACCTTGTGATCTGCCTGCCTTGGCCTCCCAAAGTGCTGAGATTACAAGCGTGAGCCATTTTTAAAGTCTCATCTAATTTACAACTCTTTTCTTCCTTATTTCATAATATATATTTCTGCTGTCATTGTGTCTGTCTGTGTTTCATCCAGCTCATTTCACTGTCCTTCTAAAATCTGACAACATTTTCATATAGTATAACACTTGATATTCATGTTTCAAATTGTTATTCTGTTGTCTTCCAGAACCTGTACTCCTTTACAATGATGTTGAAAGACTCATGCCATTGGTGACAAGTGGTGAAATTAAACACAAAAATAGTTATCTACATAATTATACTCTATAATACTTTATAAAATGACTGTTTTAATAGAAATTTTACTGTTGCTTTGTTATGTGAAACATTTTTCTGACTTTAAGGCAGTTGTTATTTGACATCTGAATATTCTGTTATGCCATACATTTTTAAAAGTCAAATTTATACCACTCAAGTTTATAGTGAATAGACTTTAATTTAGATAACTATAATTAAATAGTATACTAGGTGGATGTTTGCTTTTTCAGCGTTCATTCAATTAGGAAAGATCCTTATTTGCTTTGTCTGCAAAGGACAAAAAAGACTATTACTTCAAGAAGTGCACTGAAATATTTTGGTGCAAATACTGATGCAGATAACTTTTAAGAAAAAGAGAGAGGAAATTGGTCACTGGAGGGTTTGCTGTGGGAAAAAAAATCATTCTAATGCTTTCTACCAAATGGTAATGTTTTGTTTGTCTTTGCCTAAGTGAAACATCTATGTGATTTGAATCAGTGTTCTTACCACTTTAAGCAAAATTGAATTAAATTTGAGTCCCTTAGCCTTAAACACAATTCCACTCTTCAGTTTATTAAGGGTCAGAATTTGCACCATTAGGTGGTGCTATGGTTTGAATGCATTCCTGAAAGTTAATGTGTTAGAAATTTAATCCCTGGGCCGTGCGCGGTGGCTCACTCCTGTAATCCCAGCACTTTGGGAGGCCAAGGTAGGCGGATCACGAGGTCAGGAGATCGAGACCATCCTGGCTAACACGATGAAACCCCGTGTCTACTAAAAATACAAAAAATTAGACGGACGTGGTGGCAGGCGCCTGTAGTCCCAGCTACTCGGGAGGCTGAAGCAGGAGAATGGCATGAATCTGGGAGGCGGAGCTTGCAGTGAGCCAAGATCGCGCCACTGTACTCCAGCCTGAGCGACAGAGCGAGACTCCGTCTCAAAAACAAAAACAAAAAAAAAGAAGTTTAATCCCTAATGAAACAATCTTGGGAGGTGAGATCTTTAAGAGGTGATTAAGTCACGAGGGAGCTGCCCCTATGAATGGATGAATGCTGTCATTGTAGGAGTAAGTTTTTTATCACAAGAGTGGATTTGTTATAAAAGCCAATTTGGCTCTCTCTTGCTCACTTGCTCTTGCCCTCACTTGCTCTTCTACCTTGCAACAAGGGATGATGCAACATGAAGGCCCTCTCCAGATGTCAGCATCATGCTCTTGGACTTACCAGACTCCAGAACTGTGAACCAAATAAATGTCTGTTTATTATAAATTATGCAGTCAGTGGTAACTATAGCAGCAAAAATGGACTTAAGACAGGTGGTTTCACATTTTGTTCCCCAATGTGTGATATGCAAATAACGAGTTAAAGCAGGTATTAAAACTATCCAATCCTGGGTCTAATTTCAGAAAAACCTCAAAATACTACAGACTAACATAGGTAAATAAATGGACAGATAGATAGTAATATAGGCACATATCTTCAAAAATAGTGTTTAGCTTCAAAATAGTTTGAATTTTAAATTTTCAGGAATCAACTCATGTCTCTGATTTTAATTAGGTATCAAAATAGAGTAAGCTAAGTATATATCTCTCAAATATAAAAGGATATAATTCACAAAGTTTCTGTTAACTAACAATTGGAAAGATAATAAGCACTTCATTTGTTTTGTTCAATTGTGATCAATAAATATTTGCTTCTTGCTTATCATTTGCCTTGCACTGTGTAACACTCAACCCTATCACCAGATTACTGTCTTAAGATGTGGATGGGACAAAAATGCAAATAGCCTGCTCTAATATGATTGGGAAATGCCATCATTGCAAAACAGAATCCCTCTATTGGACATTTAGCACACACTTGGTGGTCAAAGGAAACTTTAGACAATATACTCTTTAATTGACATTATTCACTCTTTATGTTCTCCTGCTGCATTTCTTGAAAATAACCAACATGGCATCCAATTCAGATAGTCTTTAGTAAGAGCAGATCAGAGACTTACTGATAAACATCATCCTGTCTGCAAGTTCTGAGCCAAGATGTCTATACCAAATCCATAAATAAGAGTATAGACTTTGGAATAAAGTTCACCATGATTTGCAAACCAGATCTTCTATTTTATTTTGTTAACATTTTTATCTGTAAAGTAATGATAAAACTATAATCAGCCTCATAGTTTCTTTTTTAAGACCTCTATACAGTAATCTATGTACTAAGTAAAATACTAGATGTCTAGTATAGAGGTAAAAAAGTGTCTATTTTTAGTGTTCCTGTATCTAATATCTCCCCTGTATTCTCTTAACTAAAAAAGAACTGTCAAGGATTCTTAGAAGATGGTGGAATAGAAAGCACCAAGAATTTGTTTCCCTCCCTAAACAACAATTGTACAGGCAGAATCATTCTGGTGTAACTGTTTTGGAACTCTAGAGTCCATAGAAGGCTTGCAACTTCCTACAAAGGCATAAGTAATAAATTGAAGTTAATTTCAGTCAGCATCACCTTTTAGCATAGTAGCTGCTATCCATCCCCCACCCTTTAGCCCCAGGACTGTCAGCTGTGAACATGTTTTTGGAGAAGGTTACACAAATCTTGCCAGAGTGAGGGTGGGAAAAAAGACCCTGTCCTCCAAATACCAGAGATCTGTGCTCTATTTTACAGTTGTTGCTTCTACTCACATAGGTCTAGACAAAAAGGGGCATTTGTTGTATTGCACCTCCCTGCATTGTTGCAAGTTTCTCCCCTTCCATCTGAAATGGCTTCCAGAGTGTTTAAAGGGCCTGTATGTGTGTGTGTTTGTTTGTTTGTCTCCATCTCCACTTTTTTCTCATTCTCCTTTCGAAAACCAAACATTGAACATTAGAATCTTGAAAAGCAACTGCAGACAATGAGGAAATTAGAAAGTCACTGAACATGCCTAGGGGAAGGTACAGGCTCAGAAAGACCTGAAAATACCTTAAGTTTATGTCTCAGGCTGATCGTTGGCACAGACACAACATGCAACAATTTAAAAAACAACAATAACAATAACAAAAACCCCAACAAACTCTGGGAAGGTAGGAGGATCTGAAATATAGTCATTACATTATTAGATTCAAATGTCCAGATTTCAACTATGATAAAAAATCACAAGGCACACAAATAAATGAAAATATATGGTTTATGCAAATGAAATATATAAAATAACAAAACTTTTCCTTGAAAAAGACCTAATTATAGGTGTGTTTGTTAAATAAATTAAAGCAACTTTTTAAGAAATGCCCAAAGAGGAAAAGGAAGACTATGGGGTACATCAAAAAAGTGATGTATGAATGAAGCGAAAATATCAATAAACAGAAAGCCTAAAACAAACCAAAAAGAAATTCTGGAGCTAAAATCTATAAAAATGTAAATCAAAAATTCACTAGAGAGATCCCAAGTCAGATTTGAGCAGGCAGAAGAATCAGTGAACTTGGAAAGAGGACAATAGAAATAACAGAGCTTGAAAAACAGAAACAAACAAAATATTGAAGAAAAGTGATCAGAAGGCGAGGGACCTATGGAACACCATCAAGAAGATGCATTGTGATAGCCCTAGAAAAAGAAGACATAGAGAAAAGGACATACAAAATATCTGAAGAAATTATAATTGAAAACTTCCCAAATTTGATGAAAGACATGAATATAAACATCCAAGAAGCTCAACCACTCCAATTAGATAAACTCATAGAGACTCACACTGAAATACATAATCAAACTGTTCAAAAGTAAAAGACAAAGAGAATTCTAAAGGCAGCAAGAGAAAAGGACTTGTCAGATACAAGGGATCTTTAACATATTATAAGCAGATTTTACACCAGAACCTTAAGTAAGCTGATATATTTAATGTTCTAAAAGCTAAAATAATAAGAACCTGACAAGCAAGAATCTCGTATTTAGAAAAATTGTCCTTTAAAAGTAAAAAAAGAAATAAAAACATTCCTAAATAGACAAAAGCTGATAGAGTTCATTTTCAATAGACTGGCCTATGAGAAACAGCAAAGGGAATCTTACAGGTTAAAATGAAAGGATACTAGAAAGTAATTCAAAGCCATATGAAGAAATAAGGATCCTAATAAAGGCAAATACATGGGCAATTATAAAAGCTAATATTACTATAACAGTGGTGTGTACAGCCACCTTTGGTTTTCTACATAATTTAAGAGACATGCATTAAAAAAAAAATTAGTCTAAAACTTAGTATTGTTGAAAACCTGGTTTGTAATCTCACATTTTAACATATACATATTTTAAGAGATTAAAACATTATGAAATTATAAGCTTATGTTCTTGAAAACTAAATACACAAAAATGTGATTTTTAATTGAAGTTAAACTGGCATAAATTCAAACTGAAGTATTAAAACTTTATAATGTTATGTGTAATCCCCATGGTAGCCATAAATAAACTAGCTAAGAAATGTACACAAAAGGAAATAAAAAAGGAATTTAAACATTTTACTATAAAAAATTAGCTAAATGCAGAAGACAGTAATGCAAGAAATGAGGGAGTAAAAAACTATAAAATATGTATAAAACTAATAGCAATGTGGCAAAAGTCCATTCTAATCAGTGAACTTTAAATGTAAATTGATTAAGCTCTCCAGTTAAAAGGCAGACATTAGCAGAATGAGTTTTAAAAAAAAAATCCAATTATGCTGTGTACAAGAGATTTGTTTTAGATCCAAAGATGCATAAAAGTTGAAAGTTAAAGAATATAAAAGAATATTTCATGCAAAAAGTAGCTAAGAGAGTAGATACATTAATATCTGACAAAATAGACTTTAAACCAAAAAAGTTTCAAAAGACAAAGGATGTTATATATCAATAAAAGTTTCCATGCAGCAAGAAAATATAACAATTAAAAAACATTTCTAGGCTGGGTGTGGTAGCTCTCGCCTGTAATCCCAGCACTTTGGGAGGCTGAGGCTGGTGGATCAGTTGAGTCCAGGAGTTCATGACCAGCCTAGCCAATATGGCGAAACCTCATCTCTCCCAAAAATAGGAAAAATAAGCTGGGCATGGTGGCACCTTCTCAGGAGGCAGAGGCTAAGAAATGCTTGAGCCTGGGAGACAGGGGTTACACTGAGCCAAGACTGCACCACTGCAACTCCAGCCTGGAGCATGACTGTCTCAAACACAACAATAGCAACAATAACAACAAAAATTTATGCACCTAATAACAGATCATTATTGATAGAATTGAAGGGGCAAAAATTGATAGAATTGAAGGGGAAAAAATAGACAGTTCTAAAATAATAGTTGGATACTTAAGTTAACTTAACTTCTTAACTCTCAATAATGACATGAACTACCAGACAGAAGATAAGTGAGAAAATATTACAGTAGAGGACTTGATCAACTCAATAAACCAATAATATCTGACCTATATGGAACATTCTTTTGATAACAAAAGCATACACACACTTCTCACGAACATGTGGGACGTTTTTGAGGGCATATCATGTATTAGGCCACAAATTAAGTTTCGATGGATTTTTTAAAAACATATATCCTACAAAGTTGCTTCTCTGAGCACAATAGAATTAAGTTAGAAATTAGTAACAGAAAGAAAACTGTAAAACTCAGAAATTTATGAAAGTTAAGCAACTCACTCATAAACAACCAAAGGATCAAAGAAGAAATCGCAAGAGAATAGCAAATACTTATACATGAAAGAAAATAAAAACACAATGTATCAAAACTTATAGGACGCAGTGAAATAAGTGCTAAAGTGGAAATTTAAGCTGTAAGTGCTTATATTAAAAGAAAAAAAATCTCAAATAAGCATCTGAACATTACAACTTAAAGAACTAGGAAAAGACAAAAAACTAAACCCAAAATTAGCAGAAGTAAATAAATAATAACAATTAGAATAAAGTATAGAACAAAAAAAAGAAATCAATAAAATCAAAGTTTTTAAAAAATATCAGTGAAATTCACAAACATCTAGCTGGCTGGACTAAGAAAAAAAGGAGACTCATATTATTACAATAAAAAATAGAAGTGGAGATATTCCTACTGATTCTACAGAAGTAAAAAATATTATGATAGTACTATGAGCAACTACATACCAATAAACTGAATAACCTAGATAAAGTAAACAGATTTCTAGAAGCACAAAACATACCAAGACCAAACCACGAAGAAATAGAAACTCTGAATTGACCTGTAAGTTGTAAGGAGATGAATCAATAACTCCAACAAAGAAAAGCCCTGGACCTGATGACTTTACTGATGAATTCCACCAAACATTTAAAAAGAAACTAACATGAATTCTTCAAAAATTTTTCAAAAAGTTGATGAGAAGGAAACATATCCTAACTCATTCTGTACTATCAGCATTACTCTGATACTAAAGCCATACAAAGATACTACCAAAAAAAAAAAAAAACTACAGACCAATCGCCCTTATGAAGATTGATGTAAAAATCCTTGAGAAAGTACTAGCAAACCAAATTAAATAGTTTATTTAAAGGATTATACTCCATGACCAAGTGGGATTTATTTCTGAAATGCAAAAACAGCTCAGTAAATGAAAATCAATCAATTTAATACATCACTTTAACACGAAGAAAGGGAAAGAATGATCATCTCTATGCAGCGAATGCATTTGACAAAATTCAACAAACTTTCGTGATTAAAACACTCAACAAACTAGGAATAGAAGGAACAAACTTTAACATAACAAAAGCTATATATGAAAAAGTCACAGTAAACATTACACTCAATGATGAATGACTGAAAGTTTTTCCTTCTAAGTTCAGAAACAAGTTAAAGATGCCCGCTTTTGCCAAGTTCATTCAACACAGTACTGGAAGTTTTAGCCAAAGCAATTACATAAGAAAGGGAAATAAAAGGCATACAAATTGAGAAGAAATAAATAAAATGATCTCTGTTCATAGATTATATGGTGTTATATGTAGAAAACCCTATAGTTTCTACACTAAAGAAAAACAAGTTAGAACTAATAAATTCAGTAAAGTAGAAGAACATAAAATCCGCACACAAAAATTAGTTGCATTTCTATAAACTTACAATGAACAATTCTAAAAGGAAATTAAGAAAACAATTCAATTTTTAATAGCATCGAGAAGAATCAAATAATTAGAAATTAACCAAGGAAGTGAAAGACTTATACAATAAAAACTACAAAATATTTCTTAAAGAAATTTTAAAAGACATAAATAAATGGAAAAACATTCCATGTTTATGGACTGGAAGACTTAATATTGTTAATACATCAATACAACCCAAAGCAATCTACAGATTTAATGCAATTCCTATCAAAACCCCAATGGGATTTATTGAAGTGATATAAAAATTCATTGTAAAATTCATATGCAATCTCAAGGCACCCCACGTAACCCAAGCCCAAACAATTTTGAAAAAGAACATGGTTGGCAGACCCACACTTCCTGATTTCAAAACATACTACAAAACTACTGTAAATTAAAATAAAAGTTTGATACTGGCATAAAGACAGACATATAGGTTAATGTAATAGAAAAGTGAGTCCAGAAATAAACTCTTACATATATTATAAAATGATTTTTAACAAGGGTGCCAAGACTATTCAATGGAGCAAAACTCAATCTTTTTAAAAATATGGGGCTTGGATAATTGATATCCACGTGCAAAAAAATGTGGAGTTAAGCTGATACCTGACACCATATACAAAAATTATCTCAAAATAAATTTAAGACCTAATTGTAAGACTTAAAGCTACACAATTCTTAGAAAATAGGGGAAAAGCTTCACCACATTGGATTTAGCAGATTTATTGGATGTGACACCAAAATCACAGGCAGTAAAATAAAATAAACAGGTAAATTGAACTGTCTGGTTATTTTTAAATTGTGCCTCAAAAGGCACTACCAACAAAGCAAAAATCACAAACCAGAGAATGGGAGCAAATATTTGTAAATCATCTGATGAGGGCTTAATATCCAGAATATACGACAGAATTATTAAAACTCAACAACAGAGAAACACACAACTGAATTCAAAAATGCTCAAAGAGCTGGAATAGTCATTTCTTCAAATAAGTTATACAAGCAAATTAACAATAAGCACATGAAAAGATAAGCAACATTATTCATCATTAGGGAAATATATGTCAAAACCACAATGAGATACCATCTTCTACCCATTAAAATTGCTACTATTAAAAAAAAAAGAAAAAGAAAATAAGTGTTGGCAAGACTGTGGAGAAACTGAAACTTTCGCCTAGTTGGTGTGACTGTAAAATGGTATAGCTGTTTGGGAAAACTATATGAATGTATGGTGGGCAGATCACCTGAGGTCGGGAGTTCGAGACCGGCCTGGCCAACATGGAGAAACCCCCGTCTCTACTAAAAAGACAAAATTAGCTGGGCATGGTGGTGCATGCCTACAATCCGAGCTACTCAGGAGACTTAGGCAGGAGAATCTCTTGAACCCGGAAGGTGGAAGTTGCGGTGAGCCAAGATCGCGCCATTGCACTCCAGCCCGGGCAGCAAGAGTGAAACTCTGTCTCAGAAAAAAAAAAAAAAAAAAAATAGAATTACTCCATAATCCATCAGTTCCACTTCTGGATATATACCCAAAAGAATGAAAATCCGAAATATCAAAGAGATACTTGTATACCCATATTTATAAGCAACGTTACACACAATAGCTAAAACATGGAAGCAGGCCATGTGTTCATCAGTGGATAGATGTATAAGCAAAATATGATGACTTTTCTGAATGATTTCTGTAAGTCCTTAATTTTCCATGTAATTTATTTAGTATAAACTATTTTATAGAATTTAAAAAAAAATGTTTTTGAACATTGTTTTTACATTCAGCAAGGATAAAAATGTGTTGGAACTGTTAGTAAGTGGACATTAGAGTCTTACACCATGGCTTTTAGGTGCAAGTTATAATGAACAATTTATATTTCAGTCCTTATTTCCAGTTCCAAATTTGTATAAATTTACGCTGACATGTTAACTTAAGCTGACATCCAGTTGTAGCAAATTTTTATGAAAGAGAAAGCCCAAAAGGATCTAATAGAGGACCATCTTACTTCAGTTTCTCTAGATCACTGCTGTCTAATAGAAAATTCTACCATGATGGAAACAGTATAAGTCAGCACTTTCTAATACAGTATCTGCTAGCCACACACGGCTATTCAGTACTTGAAATGTGGTTACTGCAACTGCTGAACTGAATTTTTAATAATATTTAATTCTAATTAATTTAAATAGTCATCTGTTGCTAATGGCTATTGCATGAGCTAGTGCAACTCTGGATATTTACCTCTATAATTATTTTTTGAAGTATTTAATTTTCAACACTCCTGTTCTTCTTGTCCTCCAAAAATAAAGACACAGGTTTTATCAGAAAAAAAAAGATAGCCCTTCAATCTGCATTGAGGAGCTTGAGAGAAAAATTGACCAACAAACCTACGCCTCAGTAGCATCACAGACATCACCAGGTGCTGTCTTCTGAATCCTCCCCCACGCTGTGCTCAGGCTACTTTTCTCTAAGGCTCTCAGCCCATGACTGAGCATAGTGGGCATACTGAGGCAGGTCTATTTCTGTAAGATGCAGGACTCCTCTAAAGGGTAACTTTGACAATTAGCTTAGCAGAAAACTGAGATTTGTGCTGAGAATCTACTTATCAAACCTCCTTTATTCCCTTTTTCCTTTACAGGAGTCAGATATGCATCTTGCTGTGAGGATTCATTTTGCTTCTTCCAGCTGCTTTCTCCTTTTCCTTTACAGACGTTTTTCCATATAAATCTCTTGAACATCTAGTGTCAACATGGCAAATACTACTCAGAGGACCTGAAATATCACACAGGCCCTTGATCTTTGTTAATAAAATATATTTAATTTTATTTTTCAGGGCTAAAAGATAGTCAATAAATCTCCAGAGAGAGATAGTGGGCAACATATAATGAGTCACATTTAAAATAATTAAAAATGTTTTCAAAATATGTACAATGCCCTTCTGAGATGAGAAATCTAATCTTCATGGGAATATTTTGCCATTTCCTCCCTACTGAATTACTCTTTATTTTGCTTATGACTGCATCTTACTTGTGATAAAAGCATGATGATAGATTCAAACAAAAATAATTTCCCACTATGACTCAGTTGAAAAATGTATATAAATATGTCTGGACCAGTGATTCTTAACCTGGGTGATTTTGGCCCCCAAAGACTATTTTTAAGTGTTTGGAGACATCTTGGCTTGTCACAGTTGGCATGCTGTTATCAGCTTCTATCGGATAGAGGTTAGGGCTGCTACTGAATATCCTGCAATGAACACTACAGATGCTGCACTACAAAAGATCACCAAGTCAGAAATGTAAATAATGCCAAAGCTGAGAAGTCGTGGTCTAAAGCAAGTTCACAAAGCTTGTGCACATTTATGAATGATCTTCTCAAACCCGTGTCCACACATTTGAAAGCTGTTTCACATAAAATATAGCTACTCCTAGACACACAAGAAGTGTAAGATTACTCTTTAATGACAAAGATTTTTAGTGTTGGAGTAATTTTATACCACATTTCGTTGGCATATCCCATCACAATTCAGTCAAACTTTTGGTTTCTGTAAAATTGATATTTGTTAAGTCAATAGCTGAGACATGATTTTTAATTATTAAAGTTTATTATCTTGCATTTAAGTAACATACTCTGTAACTATAATAGTTAGGTTACGGGGCTAGACATAACTCATTTTCTAATAACATCGCAGTTACCAAATAGTGAAAAGGACCAGTAAATACCAAGATTATTATATTTCAAATTGATTAAACCTTGTTAGCCACCTGTTCAGTGTCAAATCCATACATCTGATTCAGTTCACACATACACACACAATCAGAAATAGAAATGAAACCATTATTGTGCCAGGACCTTTGAGAAATCTTTGAAATATATCTACTAAAATATATATTGAAATACATATTTAAATATAGAGAAAGAGAGAGGTGTGTATTACAACTGGATTGAACAATAAACCCAAACCCAAAAGACACATGTAGTTTACTGATATAATAGGTCCAAGAAGAGGCCACTGATAGGTTACAGTGTAAATATTTGTGATTACATGTGACTTTTTTCACACAGCAAAGGGTGAATTACCCTTAGCACATCAATATTCTCTTAATAGGGTAGCAATAACCTTTGAGCTACTGGGCTTTAGACACATACAACGGGTCTGAGAATTAAAGATTGTCTGGGAAAAATGTGAAGTAACATACACCACCTAATGTTGTGAACCAATCTGTCCCTATTGTATCACTGAAACAAGATCATAATACAACCCTTAAAAACATATCTCACCAATTCCACAAATAGATTACACAAAGTACATGATGATTTTTTACTAAAATATGATGACACTGCTAGATTCACCAAAACTTTGTCAATAAGAAAGATCAGAATGTGCTCCGTATCATTCTCCACCTCCTCCCTGACCCCTGCTTCCCAAGAACTTTGAGGTGGAACATGTACACACACACAGTAGTTCAAAAATATGAAGTTTCATCCTAATGTACTTGTGCAACACAAATATAAAGTGACTGGTAGTCAGTAAGTTTTATTGAAATTGGGAGAAAAATACAGTAAATATATATAGATGAGGTGGCTTATAATGGATTGAAACTGGACTGTGGAGAGTTAAATTTCAATACTCCTGTACACTTTTCACCAGCAAGGGAGGGAAGAGGAGTGAAATTAATTAGCAAAGATTAATCTAGAATGAAGGGGCATAAAAGAAGCTCTACTTTAAAATACAAAAGTGGAGGCCAAAAGTAATTGTGACTTGCTTAACGTCTCAAAGTAAGTTGTGGGGAAAGATATAAAATTTGAATGAAAATCCAATGGGTCATAGACAGTTCAATATAGTTTGATAACACTTCTCTCTCCATGTACTGAAACATTTGTGAACTGCTTCTGAGTAACTTCTTGGGTGCTTATCTCAAATACTTTCAAAAAATCCCTACAGCTTTTAATATTATGACAGCAAGTTACCAAATCTTAAGCAGCAGCAACTGACCAGGTGGCACTAAACTCTTAAATATAGATTGTCAAAAAATACTGTAATGAGTAGTGATGCACTTCACCTAATGTTCAGCTTGCCCTTTCCTGAGACTCCTAAGGAATATATGAATCCAGGACCTAATATTACTTTAAAAATAGTTAGTGACATTTTCTGATATCTTATAATTCAGCAGGATTATATTTCTAAATATAATACAATGTCTAAACTTGGATCCTACTGTCATCAGATTTTTTAACATTCTCAATAACTTCAAGTTGACTTAGCATTACGTATTTATCTTTTTCATTTAAAAAGTCATAATTTAAGATTTTGCCAATCAATTGATTATAATTTGTCATATAATTTCACTCAATTTTTCTCCCCTAATTACTTAAGACCAACGAGAAAGTATTTTAATGACACACATATTTTAATGTATAACAAGATCAAAGAAGCAGCCAAGGGGGATTGACCAGCAGAGAGCTGTGGAGAAGATTAACATAGCATGATGATGTTAGGGACAAAATAGAGAGATAGCCAGTGAAGGCACAGTAAAATGAATATATTAAAAACAACCCAGTACCTAAATATTTTTATCTAAATGTCATCTGAAAAATCTTCAGTAATGTAATAGGATCTAGAATACTTTTTTTAACTCTCATTACTAATTGCATTAAAATAATTTTACAAACTAAATACCCCATGCTTTTTTTTTTACGTGGTTTGCTTTACAAAACTAAAACATCTGTAGATTTATATGAGATATTGAATCCTACAAAATTGACCAGTCTCCCTCTTAAGGATTGGCACTCTCCTGTTGTTTGAAGATGATGCAGAAGCCTCTTTTTCCAAAGAACGTATTCCTCCCATGAGTAGCTACCACAATGTGTTTCTCATACATTTCGAAATAAGCATGTGTAATGAATAACATAACCCAACTAGGGACATACTACACTTGATTTAAAAGATCAGAGACTGTGTCCCAAAGATGCAGGACCTGGGTAGCATAAAACTACAGGAGCTGAGATGATATGCATGGAAACGTATTGTGAAACAGTTTGATCAATGTTATGGTATAAAATATTGAACTCTAAAGTATGATAGCCCTCAGAAGTATGAAAAATCTGTTTGTCCTTACTAGATGTGGTAGAAATGTCAGAATTGCTGTGGTAAATGTTAGAAGAAGGAATTCTACGGTTTAAAGATGTGAGCATATTTGAGTAGATGTACTATGTAAGACCAGAAAAGTCACCAGAGCCCTGTGTTTCACAAAAAGGCCTGGTGGATACAGCAGTTACCAAAGCAAGGCAGAATGTGCTGGAGACGGGCACTCACACCAAAGAGAAGTTAACTTTGCTCTATTGGCCAGGCCTGATGGAAGAAATGCTATTTCAGAACTGGCTTTACTGACAACAATGATGATAATAGGACTTGATAAATATATAGGATGGGTCATTCAGAGTCAAAGAGAGGCAAATATTTTAATGTATAGTAAGATCACAGAAGCAGCTAAGGGAGTTTGAGCAGCAGAGAGCTATGGAGAAGGTTAACATACCACGATGATGTTGGGGACAAAATAGATAAACGGCCAGTAAAGGCACTACTGTTAATAATTTGGTTCAACAAAAGAAAATAAAAAATAGATTCTCAGAAGGTTGAAGGAAGTTAATAAAACAAAAAGTCATAATTTCTTGCCAAGTTTCTGGACAAAGGCTTGTTTGGGACCTGGAAACTTCTGTCTGAAAGTGAGATCAGGTCTACAGGAGAAAGGGTATTGCAATGTCATGACAAGTGCATATAGTCATGATTACTCCAGCCCTTTCCTAAAGCTATTTATAGCAAATTATTCTGGAAACTGTGCACTGGTTAAATGAGAACACAAAATATTTTAAGACCTATTAGACACAGGGTTTGAGGAAACATTGGTACTTTGAAAACTGAGGTGTCATTATGGGCCCTTGGTTTGAGAGGGATACATGAGGGTCACATGATGCAAAGTCCAGGATCATGGTTATTCCACTGAATTGGCAGACCCACCTGGTGCTTGTTTCTCCCAATGCAATCATAGTGTGGAAGGCCAAATGGAAGTGTCTAACACTGATCCTTCCTGGCTGAGATCATAAATTTAATTTAAAAATAATGCATCCCAGGAGAAAAGGCACAAATTAGAGACATCCCTATATAAGCCCAAAGGATGAAGGGTGATGATTCCCATCATGTTTTCATTTATTTTTACCAATCTAGCCATTAAAGAAACAAGGCAGAGCTTGCAAGGTGACCATAAGTTCATGCAAGTATTAGAACCAATTACAGCAGCTGTTTTAGAAATGGTGTCTTTTCTAAAGTATTTTAGCATGACCTGTGACACAAGATAGGCAGCCATTGATCAAGAGAATGTATTATTTCTATCCCTACCAAAAATGAGGATCAGAGAAAGTTTCATTCACTTGCAATAGATAACAGTATACATTTACAGTCTTGCTTCCAGGTTACGTTAGTTTTCCTACCCTCTTTCACAATATAATTCTAAGAGAACTCTACTAGCCTGGCATCGCATAGAATACAACTTAGGTCAAATTTTCATTTATTCTTTTCCAATACATATATTTTCTGTCTTTTCCTTGACTCTTTGCAATGACAGGGGCCCCAAGTACAAAGTTCAATAGTAGTGGTGATAGTATATATCTGTGTCTTCTTCCTGACCTCGTAGGAAATTCTTCCAGTGTTTCACTATTAATTATGATCTTGGCTATGTTGTTTAATCAGAGTTTGGCATTGCCCTTTATTCCTACTTTGCTAAGAATTTTAATGACAATGAGTTTATGTAGAATTTTGTAAAATGCCTTCTCTTCACCTAAATGCATGAAGATTTTTTCATTTTATAAACGTAAATAATTATTTTGACTGGTATAAAAATCTTTAATCAATGTTGACTTCTTGAAGTTAAACCAATTTGGCTTGGAAGCATTATTATTTACATGTGTATACTTTCAGCTCACATTTTAATGAGAACTTTTACCTCTATGCTCATAAGAAAGATTGGCCTTAATATGCCATATTTTTATTATCTTAAAATATTAAAATGATAATCATTCTATCATTATGTTCAAAATGTTTATTTTTAATGTTGTTTTTATTTTGAAGATGTTTAGAACTATATTGTTAATTTCCTTATATTTACAAATTTTAAATTGTTACCCTATTCATTATTTCTATCTTTCCTATGGTAAGATAATTTTTGTGAATGTATTTAATCTTTTGAAATGTGTAGATACTTCATGGGCAAATCTAAGCACAGTCTTTTGTTTCTCCCATTTGAACATAATGTGTCTTTCCTTCTCGGGTTTTTAAAAGTTTCTTTCCAAATTTGATTCTCAATGGTTTTATTTGCTGTGTCTGGAATGAGTTCCCTTTTACTTATTCTTTTTGGGCTCATAGCATTTCTTGAAATCTAGTCCTTAATGTCTTTATTCAGCCATAGAGAAATTTCAGATCTTATCTCTTCAAATATTACTTCTTTGACATTCTCTATTCTTATTATACTGGATTCTAATTACAGATTTGTTTGATTTTTCAGCAAGCCGCCTCCCACACCACATAGTTTCCAGTTTCTTTTTAATTCTGTTCTTTAGTTTGAATACTCTCTACTGACCTATTTTCAAGTTATTCTTCTTTTCTAGCTTTTTCTAAAATGCTCTTAATCATATCTACTGAATTCTTAATTTAGTTATTACGTTTTTCATTTCTAGAATTTCTGTTTGAATATTTTTATTTATCCAATTATCTGATAAAATTCTATACCCTGTTATCTTCTTGAACATATTATTCATAGTTATCTTAAAGTCCAAGTTTAGTCACTTCATTATCTGAATCACCTTTGATCTATTTCTATTGCCTATTTCGCTTTCTTTACTTATCTGATGTTTTTCAAATGAATAGCAGGCATTTTATATTTTAAAATGTTGCAGCTATAGATAATTTTGCCTTCTGCTAGAAAAAATTTATCCTACTGTCTTCCAGGCATCTAGAGATCTCCATAGTGTAATTGAGATCTGAAATGTTTCAAAATTCTATAAACCTCTGCTCCATCTCATATTTATACCAATTCCTTCTAGAAATCTCAACTTACACTTTGGAATGTTTATAGAGTTTCTTCTCCTGGTAGATATTTAGTATTTTAGCCATTCATAATCAAGGAACTGATTAATATTATGCTATGCTTTTTAGCCATGTTCTAACAGGCATCTTAGCCTCTAGCTCTGGGTAGTTTACGCGATGTAAAGAGTATTAGGTGTATTTTAATGAACATGTCTGTGATTTTCACTCCCCAAGCTTTAACTGCCTTGGCAGTTCTTCAATGCCTTCAAAAATTAATTATTTTAGTGTTTACTTCGGCTTTTTCTTTGGTTTTGGTGAAAGGATTCACGTACTATAAGCTATTCTATCATAACCAGAAGAGGGATCCCCCAAAGTGCTATAAAAGTTGAGGGGAAGAAAACATGTCACACAATAGTAGTTTAATGAAGCAGCCATTATGACATGTTTTCTTGTTTCCTTTTAGCCTATCTGCATGCATTCCACTAAAATGATTTATTGAAACATAATCTGAGTATAGTATTTACTCATTAAAAATTTTAAATGAATACTACCACATGTGCCAGAGTAATTTTCTCCATATAATGTTCATAGCGTCCAGGTCTTTTAAGCTTTTCAAGATTTTATAAAGTTATTTGAAAAGTGAGCAAAATTGGCTTTAGTAAATGTTAATTTAATTTTTATAAACGTGATGTCAATTAACTGCAACTCAACACAAACTTCATATAAAAATTATTTTTTGTAGAACATGACAGTATTTTAGTATTTTTGATATTATATAAAACAGATTTGAAAAAGTAAACCTAAAACCTTCAAAGTTGGTGAAATGTCCTAAATTTTAAATAGTCTTATTAAGATCTGTTTTATGCACACTATTTGTTTTTGTTTTTTATTTTGTAGGGCTGGACTAGCCTTACAACCCTATTCTCAATAGTTTTTGACATATCTGGAACTACCTGGACAAATTCAAACATTACCATTATTATTTTCTTTTTATCCATGTCTTTACCGGTAAAATTTTTATAACATATGACTAAATGGTATTCTTTGTCCACCAGTAGAACACCATTTCTGTTTTAATTCTTTCCCAGCCATCCCCTTCATTTGGCTTCTATTATATATTTCAGGCATATCTTAGAGATATGAATTATGTTCCAGACTACCACAATAGTGCAAACATCACAATAAAGTGAGATATAGGAATTTTTCTGAGTCTCCAAAGTACATATAAAAGTTATGTTTACATTATACTGTAATCTGTTATGTGTGCAGCAGCATTATGTCTAAAAATAGTACATACCTTAATTTGAAAATACTTTATTGCTAAAACCTGGTGGTAAGGATCATCTGAGCCTTTTGTGAGTTGTAGTCTTTTGGCTAGTGGAGGGTCTTTCCTTGATGTTGATGGATGATGGCTGATCAGTGTAGTGGTTGCTAAGGATGAGGGTAACTGTGGCAATTTTTAAGATTAGGACAACAATCAAGTTTGCCACATTGATTGACTCTTCCTTTTGCAAAAGATTTTTCTGTAGTATGGGATGCTGTTTGAAAGTATTTTTGCCACAGTAGAACTTCTTTCAAAATTGGAATCAATCCTCCCAAAGCCTGCCCACTGCCTTATCAACTAAGTTTATGTAATATTATATATCCCGTGCTGTTATTTCAACGGGGCATCTTCACCAGGAGTAGATGGCATTTCAAGAGACCACTTCCTTTGCTCATTGATAAGAAGCAACACCTTATTTGTTCAAATTTATCATGAGATCACAGCATTTCAATCACATTTTCAGGCTCCATTTCTAATTATCTTTCTTTGGTTATTTCCACCACATCTACAGTTATTTCCTTCATTGAAGTCTTGAATCCTTCAAGTCATCCATGAAGGTTGGAATCAACTTCTCCAAAACTCCTCATAATGCTGATATTTTGACCACCGCACACTAATCATAAATGTTCTTAGAGGCATTTAGAATCATGAATGCTATCCAGAAAGTTGTCAATTAATTTTTCCCAGATTCATCCCAGGAATCACTATCTAAGGAAGCTACACTTTACAAAAGGTATTTCTTAAACAAGAAGACTTGAAAGTTAAAATTCCTCCATGATTCATGGGCTGAAGAATGATGTTGTTTTAGCAGGCATTTAAACAACATTCATCTTCTTGTACATCTCCATTAGAGCTCTTGGGTGACCAGACGCATTGTTAATGAGCAGTAATATTTTGAAAGAAATCATTTTTTTCTGAGAAGTATGTCTCAACAGTGGACTTCAAATATTCAGTAAACCATGCTATAAACAGATGTGCTGTCATCCAGGCTTTGTTGTTCCACGTATAGAGCACAGACAGAGTATATTTAGCATCATTCTTAGGAGCCCTAGGATTTTCAGAATGGCAAATAAGCATTGGCTTCAAGTTAAAAGTCACCAGCAGCACTAGCTCCTAATAAGAATGTTAGCCTGTCCTTCGAAGTTTTGAAGCCAGACATTGACTTCTCTCTAGCTATGAAAGTCCTAGATGGCATCTTTTTCAAATACAAGGCAGTTGTATCTACACTGAAAATCAATTATGTAGTGTAGTCGCCATCATCAGCTCTTTTACCTAGATCATCTGGAAAACTTGCTGCAGCTTTTATATCAGCACATCAGCTTTTACATCACCTTGCACTTCATCTTACACTATTAGGTTATTGTGAAGGCTTTCCTTAAATCTCATGAACCAACCTCTGCTAGCTTCAAACTTTTCTTTTGACGTTTCCTCACCTCTCTCAGTCTTCCTAGAATTGGTGAGAGTTAGGGCCTAGCTATGTATTAGGCTTTGCCTTAAGGAAAGGTTAGGGTTGGTTTGATCTTCTATCCTACCACTAAAACTTCCTTGATACCAGCAATAAAGTTGTTTTGCTTCCTTATTATTTGTGTATTCACTGGAGTAGTATATTTAATTTTCTTTAAGAACTTTTCCTTTACATTCAAAATTTGGCTGTTTGGCATAAGAGACCTAGCTTTTAGCCTATCTCAGCTTTTGACATGCCTTTCTCACTAAGCTTAATCATTTCTAGCTTTTGACTTAAAGTGAGGTAAGTGTGACTCTCTTTCACTTGAACATTTAGAGGCTATTGGGCTATTACAGGGTGATTAATTGGCTTACTCTCAATATTGTTGTGTCTCAAGGAATAGGAAGACCCAAAGAGAGGGAGAGACAAGGAAACTACATGCTGGCGGAGCAGTGAGAACACACACAATATTTTTCAATTAAGTTTCCCATCTTATATGGGCATGCTTAGTGTGCTTCAAAACAATTGCAATAATTATATCAAAGATTACTGATCACAGATCACTGTAACAGATATTACAATAATGGAAAAGAAATATTGTAGAAATTACCAAAATGTGACACAGAGGCACAAAGGAAGGCCATGTTGGGAAAATGGTGCTGATAGACTTGCTGAATGCACTGTTGCCAAAAATCTTCAATTTGTAAAAAATAAAATATCTGCAAAGCACAATAAAGTGAAGCACAATAAAATGAGGTATGTCCGTATAGACATTTGGCTTCTGTTATATATATTACATATACTGTATTATCTATTTCTAGTATTTATAAAAATAATCAAATTTATGTTTACATTTTTCTGTGTATGTTCATTTTTAAGCTTCTGAGCCTCAAAGGTTGTGCCTTAAAAGATATGATACATAGTATGTGATAAGTAAATGCATATTTTATTTAAAATGGAATTTCAATAAGTTTTAAGGGTTAGGTAGACTATCTACAGACTTTAATAGGGAGAAAAGTGTTTATGAAGGAAGTGTACAATCACCAGCTGCAGGTGCATTTGGAAAAAGATTTTCTATTTGACTGGAATCCAGTATATGTATAAAGTTGGTGTCATCGATAAGTTCTGAAATAGAGGTTAAGACAGTTATCAAATGTTTTGAAGTTTAGACAGAAGAATTTTAAGAACTATATTGTTGACTATTAGATGTTTTTAAAGAAGGAATATTAAAAGTAGATCTTTTCTCTAGGAGAATTCATATGATATATGTTTCTCACAGCCTTAACAAGAGCAGAGGCAATAGGGATAAGCATAAACACCTAGAATCAAAAGGATTAAGCAATTGATTGAACTGGTGGGACACAGAAGAAGACAATTTAAACACTACTTCCTAAGAGCAAATTTTGGTTTGGTTGAATACTGATAGTCTGTATGTATTAAATGATTTACACTAGAACTTGTTAATATTATAGTTTTATTGTAATGTAAGACTATGTGTTATGATGTATTCTGCTTGGTGGTTTCCAGAACAAATCTAAGGTACAATCTACTTTATTTACCTGATTCTTTCTTCTATTTTATAACAACCAATGTTACATAGTGACTCCAAAGTGTGCCAGAAAACTAAATTTTGGTTCACTGCCAAGAAGAGTTTGAATTTTTCATTATTTTAATTTTCCAAATATTTCCCCATGTTTGGTATTTGTGTGTCTCAGTTGTCTTCTCAGGCTGCCATAACAAAATTCCAGAGACTCGGTAGTTGAAACAAGAGAAATTTATGTTCTCACAGTTCTGGCAGGTTGGAAGTCCAAGGTCAAGGTGCTGGCCAATTCAGTTCCTGATGAGGGCTCTGTTTGTGGCTTGTAGATGGTGGCCTATCCATCTCACTCTGTCCTCAAATAGGAGAGAGAGAGAGACAGAGAGAGGGGGAGAGAGAGAGAGAGAGAGAGAGAGAAAGAAACAGCTGTTTGCTATCTCTTTTTATAAGGGCATTAATCCCATCATGAAAGCCTACTCTCATTATCTCATGTGAACCTAATTATGTCCCAAAGGTTCCATCTCAAAACACCACCAGCTCATCAGGGCTAGGGCTTCCACATATGAATTTTAGGGAGACACAATTAAGTCCATAGCAGAGTGTGTGTGTGTGTGTGTGTGTGTGTGTGTATTTGTATGTGTGTGTGTGTGTGTGTGTGTGTGTTTCTTGTTACATAATATTTTTGGCTTTCTATTTGAGTGAGAAAATAGAAAAAGAATTAATGTATACTAGCTAAAAGCAGTCCTTGTCCAAATATCCAAGTATATCATAGAGAATGGCAGCCCCACCCTGCTAGTTTTTTTTTCCTGGAGTCAGTAAGAAGTATTGCTAAATGGCCCCAGGAGGACAGTCACTGCCTCTGCGCTTTGCATTCCCAGAGAGAGGGTACTGAGAACCACTTCAGCTGTCTAGGCCTCTTAAAGCTGAAGTTAGGATATTGAGACTGGCCTGGGGGGAAAATGTGTCATCTGTTTTCTGTAAGCTCTTTGGCTTTGATTCAGTCAGCAGCTTTTAAATGCCAGCATATTGTGGCTTTAAGGTTTAATTAAAGGGATTAACATAACAAATCCAGGAAAAAGATAACCATATTACAGGGCTTTGGGTTTACCAATAAAACATAAAAATAATTAAGATAATTTGATTTCCTGCTTTTGGCAATACTTTTTTCCAGATTTATACTAAACAATGCACACAAAAGCCCAGTGAGCAGAGACCAGACTTAGCCATATGTTCAGTACAGAAGCTACAAGAACAGGTGTGAAAATGTGTTGATCAATACTACTAATTTTTAGCAATCAGTAAAATGTAGTATATCCCTAAATGTAGTAAATACCAGTCCTTAGAATTTATTTAGTTAAGAGTTTTTAGGAATGTTAAAGTTTTATGTTTTGGAACAAAATTCATGCCTTTTTGTTGGTAATATAAATATACAATGAGAATGGGATGAAGCAATGTCCAATGCTACCAGTGCAAAATGGCTAGAGTATTGCTTTGAAGAAAACGAAGTATTTATAGGAGCAATTTATGTTTTCAAAACTTGTCTGTTAGGTCAAAATGTTTCTACAACTCACAAAGGAGTTTCACTGTGCAATATACTATCCAGGGTCTTTGCCAGATAAGCAAGCCACATATCATGAAGTGAACCAAGTTTTTGGGGGCATACATTCTTCTCACCTCAACCCAGGTGTCTTCTTTTACAATGCCTCATATAATATTAGAACAGATCTATGATAGAGGTAAAGGGAACATTCTACTCCTTTCCCATTTTATTTTGTTTCTTTCAAAATCAAGCAGCTTTCATTTATTTCATTTAGTTTTATAAACAAAATAGTAAAGAAGGCATGCAATTAATATCTTTATCATTTCTACTCAGAAACATAGAAAATACAGATAATTTTTATTTGGTTACAGCTCACAGCTCAGGTATACATGGTGAATAAGAAAATCCTTTCTATTTAATTTAGCTACAAATTTAGCAAAACAGATGCAAATACAAGACAATGTGCTGACATAACAGTAGATAAGCAAATAACACATGGACTGCTCTTACCTTTCTTTCCTAAATTTATAGCCATTAATCAGTAAATTACATGTCTCTTGACTCATTCATGTATCTCTTCTTGAATAAGTACATTCTGAATATTTTAAATATTGTTTTGTATGGTGGATTTTATAGTTGGCAGTGACATGCAGGAATTTCCCCATTATCTCTAGCTTGATCTAAAAACCCAATGAAAAAATAAGTAAGAAAACCAGTTTAAAAGAAAACAATAGTTGCATGTAAAACAATAAAACAAAATATGAGAACGTGTTATGTTTATTTGGAGATTTTCTTTAATCCTAGCTGACAATAAAGGGATTTACAGAACCTCAAAAACTGTATAACTGTCTGTACACTTAGATTGTTCTGTACTTTTCAAACTAACACTATTTTCAATACTGCTTGGGTACAGTGGTCTATAATTAGAGCTCAGATTTTGCAAACCATTTGCCTTAGAATAAAATATGTTTTTGGTCTCGATTCTAACAGTAAAAAATAAACGAGAGCTTGGTCATCTGTAGGGATCTTTCTGGGGTCCATTCTAAGACACACTTTTAAAATATATCAATGATAAAATGTCTCTCTGGATTTATCAGGAAGACATCAATCTGAAATGCTCGTAATAAAAAATAAACTAATATCATCAGCTTTAAAGTCAGGTAATGCTGAATGACAGAAGCATTTGGTAACTGAAACAAGGAAAGGAAATCAGAGCTAAAAAATCTGTCAGGATCACTTTTGGAGAAATTCAGGGAGTATGCATTCCGATTCAAAATTATTCTTCTTGTAATTAGATAGAAAGAGTCTCAGAGTGAAGATCATTGACTATTGTAGGAGGATTTTGGTTGTAAATAGGAGAAAGGAGAGCCAAGTGGACTTAAATAATGAAGGGAATTATTGGCTCATGTAATTGCCTGGTTGTGGACTTGGCAGGGATTTGTCTGTTATTCAAGTAATTTCACTTAACCTTCAGTTACTTTCCCTATTTCCTGGTTTTATTTCCTTCGGATTGGTGCCATGGGCAGAATCTTTCCTTATTTTATCAAAAATGTTATAAGCCGCCCAGAACCATAAGCTTCCTCACTCATGTCTGGCTGCAAAGAGGTCATTTGTTTCCAAGGACCTTCAAGAAAAATTCTGAAGACTGCTCTGATGAGATCTACCTAGAACACGTGCATAAATTTAAAATAATTGCACGGGATAAGATTAGGATTAATTATATTCATTATGCCTTCACCCCTGGAGCTGAGGTGGGGTCAATCCCATGCAAATTAAGGTATCAATATATGGCAGAGAATGATAGATTCCCAAGGAAAACTTGAGGTGCTTCCCAAAAGATGGGGATGTGGTGGGAAATAGATGTTTCTCACCTAAATCTGCATATATTCACTGACTAAGACAATATTAACACAAGAAACATAAAGAGTTACTCTAATATGTAATTCCACAAAGCTAGCAGCCTGAAACAAAATCCATGTATTACCTTCCACTTCTGTAGGTCACAAGTCTAGCTCACCATTCCTGAAATCAAAATCAAGGTGTCAGTCAGGCTGTTTTCCTCAGAGCCTCCTGGGAAAAATCTCCTCACAAATAATTCTTGTTGTTGACAGCATTCATTTCTTTGCAGTTGTAGGACTCATATCCCCTTTTCTTGCTGACTCTAGGCTGGAGGTCGTTCTTAGCTCTTTGATCCTTTTCACGTGACCTTGTTCATCTTAAAGCCAGCAAGGGCTCAGTGAATTCCTCTCTTGCTTCAAATATCTGATTTCCTCTTCTACAACTCTCTGGAGAAAAACTATACTTTTACAGGTTCATATGATTAGATCAGGTTAACCCAGAAAAACCTCTCTACCTAAAAATCAACAGTGCCAAATAACCAAACCTAATCCTGGTAGCACGAACCATTATATTCCACCAGGGAATTACTCAGGACATATACACCAGAGAGAGCAGATGATCTTTGGGGAAAACCTGGATTCTGTTTAACACATTTACCTAATTACTTTTGGCCTATTAATTGGTCTCTTAAGTAAGTTCTTAACATCTCTCCACTTTAGAAAAGTATTTTCCATTATCATGCCAGATATATTTTCAGGGAGAGAAATTAATTGTCATTCACGTTTAGCAATTAGGGCCTTTGAAATTTGAAGTGTTTAAATTGTTAAATTATTTTTTTGATCCTGTAATTTGATGATTCAACCAAAGACTGATCAGCCTCTGAGTTTCCCTTGAAATGGTCAGTTACCATCTTATCTGTGATCATTACAATGTGCTTAATTGTCGTGGGTTCAATTTTCCCTACTCCATTATCTTCCCACTCATACTGAAATCTGATTGTTAGTTACTCACTTACTATGTATTCATAAAAATAAATCCCATCTGTAATGCCATATTTAAAAAGGTCATTTAAACAAGTGGGCAGGATGCAAAAGCTTATGATGGGGAAAGAGACATTTATGGTGCTTCTCTGAACATAATGAAACTGAAATATTGAAGATTTCAGTACACCAAAATAGCTAAAACAGTGTATATATTATAATGCAAACAAAAATATCAGTGACATATTCCCAGAATTACTTTTTACTCTTTTCCTTTTGTTAGCATATTTTTGATAAAGGAATTAAAGAAACAGAATCGGTTAAAAGTAAACTTGATTGCTTCACCTCTAATTCAACACACTTTTCCATATGTACCATCACTTTCAATACCAGTTTTCTCGTTTTTCCTTCTTGATCTCTGCTCCTTCATTATTCTTTATATTCGATAATAAAAGCCCAATTCCCTCTGAGAATCTGATAAAAATCCATTGCTCTTTATGCCACAGAAATGAATATATGCATATGTATACAACATTTTGCTTTCAATTTGAAAGGCTCACCGATCCTGAAACTCTCTCCACTTCATATCTCCTGAGTTTTGGTATTTATTTTTTTGAAAATATATTTAACTACTCTCCCTCTCTGTTGCTGTAGCTCTCAGCCTATGATAAGCTTTTCTCTCTTATATCTCGTTTACTGCCATCATATCCTTGCCCTTTCCAGACAATAGTGTATCTATACTCAATACTCTTCACACATAGATAAGGTTTAAACATCTTTTTCTAAAAAATCTCTTTTGATATATTTGTTTATTCAAATGTCTCCCTCTATCTCCTTTAGTGTTCATTCCTCTCCTCTAACTTACAAAGCCCCTTTCCATCTCTTTTCCCTAAAGCCAATAGCTCATTCCATTCCCTAATTACTGGTTGTGGAAAACGCTTAGACAAGTGTCTTCCTGGCTTCAACTAAATTGAAATACTTCTGAGTGAAGTAGTTAACCTATTCCTTGCTGCCTGCATGCCTTTTTTGCAGGTGACTTCAGAGCTACCCTTAAAGCCCTCACCTCATCTGTCTACCCTCCTGCTGTATATTTATTTTTCAGGTATATGTAGGATGTTCAATGTTAATTTCAAAGAATTTTTACTCTGTTCATTTTCACTATTTATAAACAGCAAAGTGAGAAAGAAAAACAGAGTCTACGTCCTTTGTTCCTGTCCTATCTTTCTTCCCCTTTCCACTGCTAATTAAGAGTATTGTATTGTCTATAAAAGCTCCCATAAGCATGTAAATAAATACTAATAGGGAAAATAAATATTTTGATAAATTACATTTTCTATATTTTTTCAAAAATATAGAAAAAACTGACTTTACAGAATTGAATATATTTTAAAATCCTGTTTTAAAAATCTGCTGTCAATTATCTTAAAAAAAAACCTTACTTGTAATACAATATTAAAACAGGCATATATATAACCTTGAAAATAAAATGTTAAGTGGAGGTGAAATTTTTCATTCTCTGTGAAAAAAAAAAAAATGAAATGGTCTAAGTTTTAAAAGTTGCTCAGAGGTTAACTTTTTAATGAAACAATATATGGATTCGATTTCAAAAAATAAACCCCAACACTGGAAGCAGAGTTTTTGACCCTACATCATATCTGGATCCTGATGTCTGACAACAGAATGAAGAAAAGGGGAACAAAAAGAAAAATCAATGTGAATCATATTAGTGTCTGGTGCAGAGAAAGGGCAGTGGTTTTAAGAGTAACTCTTACTATGAAAAGACCCAGATAGCACTAATTCAGTGAGTGAGGGGCTCAGTGACTGAGAGGGAACACATAGTAAAGGGATAATGCTTTTATGGCTGTAAAGCACCTGGTTTTGTTTAGGACAATATATTGACTTCTTATGGCTCTTTTCTGGTGGCAGGCTCCCAGGCCAGAATGGAAAGAAGACATTTTGTCAAGAGTTTCTTCAAATACACAGACAATAGCAATACAATTATCTATGGATGCACAAATTTTTTGCATGAATTCTCTGGGAAGTATACCAATTCTCTCAGTGACATTAGCAAAGTCAATCAAGAATCAATGTAGCTATTTAGAAATAGAAATACCTGCAGGAATTATGGGGAATGGGAGTTGGGAAGAAAAGAAATTTAGCCACCAGAACAGCCATTTCCACTTTTCAATGCTGAAAGGAGAAAATTGGATGATGAAGACACATGATCATTGTATGTTATTAATTTACACAGTTACTCTACCTCTAGGCTGGTGGCCTAAGGAAATACCTGTTATTTTTATATTTACATTTTCATTGGTGTAGATTAGGCATTGTGGGAATTCAGAGTGTCAAGCCAACACAATAAAGTGACAATCTTAACAACCTACCTTAGGAGGTGCTGAAAAACTGTTCCCTTTAGAACTATATCCTGCCCGCCTCTTCATGCTGCTCATAGAGAATAGCACCTATTAGACTAATTCTTGCCAAATAAAGTTTTTAACTGATGACTTTAAAGAGTAGCTATTTGGAAGTAGAGAGCATTACATAGATTTTATGGAGTTCATTTGCTCCCCTTGTTTTATCTGTAGGTATATTCGTCAGTTTTCACTCAGCTGGTAAAAATATGCCCAAGACTGGAGAATTTACAGAAGAGGTTTATAATGGACTTACAGTTGCACTTGGCTGTGGAAGCCTCATAATCATGGTGGAAGGCAAGGAGGAGAAAGTCACATGCTACATGGATGGCAGCAGGCAGAGACAGCTTGTGCAGGGAGACTCCTGCTTTTAAAACCATCAGATCTCGTGAGACTTATTCAATATCACAAGAACAGCATGGAAAAGATCTGCCCCCATGATTCAATTACCTCCCTCTGGGTGCCTCCCACAATACAAGGGAATTCTGGGAGATACAATTCAAGTTGAAATTTGAGTGGGGATCCGCCCAACCATATCATCACCCCTGGTCCCTCCAAAATTTCATGTCCTCACATTTCAAAACCAATCGTGCCTTCCCAACAGTCCCCCAAAGTCTCAACTCATTTCAGCATTAACCCAAAAGTTCAGTCTGAAGTCTCATCTGAGACAAGGCAAGTCCCTTCTGCCTGTGAGCCTGTAAAATCGAAAGCAAGTTAGTTACTTCCTAGATACAATGGGGGTACAGGTATTGGGTAAATACAGCCATTCCAAATGAGAGACATTGGCCAAAATAAAGGGGTTACAGGGCCATCCAAGTCCGAAATACAGCAGGGCAGTCAAATTTTAAAGCTACTAAATGATCTCCTTTGACTCCAGATCTCACACCCAGGTCATGATGATGCAAGAAGTGGATTCCCATGGGCTTGGGCAGCTCCACCCCTGTGGTTTCGCAGGGCACAACCTCCCTCCCGGCTGCTTTCACAGGCTGACACTGAGTGTCTGTGGCTTTTCCAGGAGAAAGGTGCAAGCTGTAGGTGGTTCTACTATTCTGGGGTCTAGAGGACAGTGGACTTTTTCTCACAGTTCCACTAGGTGGTGCCCCAGTAGGGACTTTGTACTGGGGCTCCGATCCCTCATTTCCCTTCTGCGCTGACTTAGAAGAGGTTCTCCGTGAGCGTCCCATCTCTGCATCAAACTTCTGCCTGGGCATTCAAGCATTTCCATATATCTTCTGAAATCTACGCAGAGGTTCCCAAACCCCAATTCTTGACTTCTGTGCACTTGCAGGCTCAACACCTTGTGGAAGCTGCCAAGGCTTATGGCTTGCACCCTCTGAAGCCACGGCCCAAGCTCTATGTTGGCCCCTTTCAGACATGGCTGGAGCTGCTGGGATGCTGAGCACCAAGGCCCTGGGCTGCATACAGCACAGGGACCCTGGGCCCAGCCCATGAAACCAATTTTCCTCCTAGGCCTCTGAGCCTGTCATGGGAAGGGCTGCTGTGAAGACCTCTGACATGCCCTGGAGACATTTTCCCATTGTCTTGACGATTAACATTTGGCTCCTTGTTACTTAATGCAAATTTCTGCAGCCAGCTTGAATTTCTCCTCAGAGAATGTGATTTTCTTTTCTATCACATTGTCAGGCTGCAAATTTTCCAAACTTTTATGCTCTATTTCCCCTTTAATACTGAATGCCTTTAACAGCACCCAAGTCATGTCGTGAATGCTTTGCTGCTTAGAAATTTCCTCCACCAGATACACTAAATCATCTTTCTCATGTTCAAAGTTTCACAAATCTCTAGGGCAGGGGCAAAATGCTGCCAATCTTGTTGCTAAAATATAACGAGAGTCACCTTTGCTCCAGTTCCCAAAAATTCCTCATCTCTATCTGAGACCACCTCAGCCTGGATTTCACTGTCCATATTATTATCAGCATTTTGGTCAAGGTCATTCAACAAGTCCCTAGGGAGTTCCAAACTTTCCCACATTTTTCTGTCTTCTGAGCCCTCCAAACTGCTCCAACCTCTGCCTGTTAGCCAGTTCCAAAGTTGCTTCCACATTTCTGGGTATTTTTCAGCAGCACCTCATCCTATTGGTACAAATTTACTGTGTTAGTTCATTTTCACACTGCTGATAAAGGCATATGTGAGACTGGGCAGTCTATATAAACCAAAAGAAGTTTATAATGGCCTTACAGTTCCACGTGACTGGGGAAGCCTCACAATCATGGCAGAAGGAGGAGTAATTCATGTCTTACCTGGATGGCAACAGACAAATAGACAGCTTGTGTAGGGAGACTCCCATTTTTAAAACCATCAGATCTCCTGAGACTTATTCACCATCACAACAACAGCATGGGAAAGACCTGCCCCCATGATTCAATTACCTCCCACCAGGTCCCTCTCACAACAGATGGGAATTCAAGGTGAGATTTGGGTGGGGACACAGAAAAACTATATCTGCAGATAGGTAATTGAAATGTATAATATCAGTATTCAGCAGTGTCTGGATAGGTTTAGATGTTAGCTTTTTTTTTTTTTTAACCACTTACTAAAGTAAGCCCAAATTATTTATCAGGGGAGGAAAATCAAAGTTAATGTAACTTGTCAAAAATATTTAGGGTGATAGTAGTGATATTATAGAGGCTGTATTCCAGAGTATAACAGCAATTTTACGATTCAACATTTATTTATACAAAAATATAAATTTTATACAAATCAATAACTAAATTTTATGCTATTAAAATGTTTTGAATGCGTGTAACACTTGCAGTAAAACACTTCACTAAAGGATAAGATTTGGTTTTCAAGTAAGCTTCTACAACTTAATACCTGTAAGATCTTGTCAAGTGAAACTTAGGAACACATTTTATCTATTAAATATAGATTAAAAATTCCTATCTTACAGAGTTGGAATGAAGCTTAAATTAGAAAATGAGGTTAGATCACTTTGCAACTACAAAGAATAAAAATAAATTTTAGATATACTATTGTCATTGTTAAGTAAGTATAGTCAGGATAAACTTACGAAGGTACTTCTTTAAACGGAAAGTAATAAACACAAAAATTAGCTAAAACAGAAGACATTCAAGTTAAAAATGACTTTAAAAAAGTATTTGTTGAAAGTACTGAAAGTCACATGATGGGTGAATAACAGAAAATAGATTAGTACAAGTTTCCAGCTTTTTGTGAATGACAATATTAAATTAAGTGCACTGCTTCTTAAGTAGAAGCTTTGTAAATGAGTAGTGGCATTTTTTATCTTAGTATCAGTAAAATATTCTGGATTAATCATTACAAAACTATATTATATAAGAAATTATTGTACAGCCCAAAATGACAATCGTGCCCTGTTGAGAACCACTGGGAAAGCAGCCATGAAGCTCTGCAATTAGTGGGGTCAGCATGCATCTTTGACTACATACCTAAGCCTGTGTCTTTTCTACTGATAGAAGAAAAATCATACTCAATTCTGACAATATATCTTTTCAGTTCCACATTTTTTACGTTCACTTTTCAAGGGGATGTTCCATTTATCTGGTGAAATTCATCAACTGTTTCACAAATTTTTTTCTACTTTTCTGTAACATCTATTAATACATTGATAAAAGTTATTTGAAAGTTTTGTTTGCCAACTTGAGCGTTTGAGTCGCCTATCTTTTGGTTACATTTCTATTCCCTACTTTGCTTCTTGATTATGAGTCACATGTTCTTTATTATTCATGTGCTTTGTTATTTTTTATTTTATGCATAACATTGTATGTAAAGTGTAGTAGAGACTGAAGTATATATTATTTATTCCAACAATGGATATATCCATATCTCCTGTAAAATGACTTGGCTGAGAAGTTCAACCAATTGCATCTGAAGTTGAAATGGGTTTTGGTTTAATTGCAGCTTTGTTCAGATTCAGTTTCTTACAGGTGTAAACCAAAAAGTGCCTGAGTCTCAATCAATTTAGAAGTTCATTTTGCCAAGGTTAAGGACATGCACCCAGAAGACATGTCTGTGCCTTTCTCCAAAGATGATTTTGAGGGCTTCAATATTTAAAGGGGAAAAGGCAGACCTTGTGGAAAGAGGAAGAAATTTTTAAAAGGTTTGAGTAGATAAGAGAGGAATCTTTGATTAGCCTTTCACTGAATGCACAATTTGCATGTGAGAGGTGGGTAGAGGAATAGTCACTTATGCCTTCATATAGCTCAGTGAATCTGCATTTTTACATAAGATAATGTAAACAATAGTACGGAGGAAGCAATTAGATATGCATTTGTCTCAGATGAGTCAGAGGGGTGACTTTGAGTTCTGTCCTCTGTCCAGCACCTGTGAAGATAAGTTGTCAGTTTATATCACCAGGGTAAAATTTAACAGAATAAAATAGGAGGCAGGTTTGCCTGATAAAGTTCCCAGCTTGACATTTCCCCTTTGGCTTAGTGATTTAGGGTGTGGAGATTTATTTTTCTTTCACATTGGTTAGTATTTTGATGGTGGAGTTAGGAATTTGATGAGTAGGATTCCATTGATCTCTCTACATAAAACAAACCAATAGCTCTTCTTGTCACAGGAGAGTTCTCTGCTTTGTAACATAGCCACCAGCTTTTTAGACTGATGGTCTCTTTGCTATCTAACCCAACTCCTATATCTTGGGAAATTTCTATGTCTTATGAAATCTCCTCTCACCATGATGCCCTACTTTTAGCTTTTGCTGGACTATTGCTATGCACTCATTGAAGGTTCTGTGTGCCTTGGAGTATCCTCTTTTCCATCCTGTCCTTGGCCCATTCCCTGTCTTATTATTGTAGTGTACTCACTGAAAGGTAATATGTAATATGCACGTAGTCTGTTTGAACTAGTATAACAGAAATACCATAAACTGGGTGGCTTATGAACAACAAACACTTATTTCTCACAGCTCTGGAGGCTTGGAAGTCCAAGATCAAGGTGACATTCAGAGTCTGGTGAGAGCTCATTGCTCATAGATAGCACCTTCTTTCTGCATCTCCCCATGGTATAAGGGGCAAGGTAGTGATCTGGGATACCTTTTATGGGGGACTAATGCCATTCATGAGAACAGACCCCTCATGATTTAATAAACTCCTGAAGATGCTATCTCCTACTATTGTTACATGGGGAATATGTTTTAACACATGAATTTTACAGCTAGACCATAGTATGTACCAAAGTTGGGTGTTTCCACACTTATGTTTTACCTCATCTTTTTCTTGTTGCAGCTCTGCCTTTGTTGAAAACCTATGAGACAGAAATGGCAAGTCAGTGTAACCTTATCCTGTGAATGGGACTCCTAGTACTGAACCATCCTGCCAGATCACATACAGTCATTACGAATTGTTAAGGTTTAGATGGTTTTTCCTTTCCTCTCTTTCTGTCATGATCATTATTTCCTTTTCATTAAGCAAAATTTAGTTCATGTAGATTTCTTTGCCTCAGCTTTCTTATGAGCTTACATATATACCTGTGTGTGTACACATACACACGACACATATACAACACACACACACACATTTTTTTATAGCTTATTTAGTTTGCTCTTTATTGTTAGGGAACAATGGTGTCCTGTGACTTTCCATATCCTATAAAATAATATTGGTAAAATATTTACTAGCTTCAAATGGATCAGTCTTATATTGTATTTCAAAAGTTATTTAACCACAACAGTTTCCATGGATAATATTTTTTCAGGCTTTTGCTTTACGTTTTGACTGGGTTTCTTTTTCTAATACCCAGTAGAAAGAACTCTATAATTTCTATATATTCGAAGGTTTTTTATTGTCCCCTAGAGATATAATTGACCAGCCTAAGTGTCCGCAAAATGTTCTCTCTCAGTTTGCCTTACTTTCTTTGCTCCTCCTCTACTCAGTAGGTTCAGTCAGGAAAAGAATCATGTGTGCATTCCTTAACTATGCACTCAAGGCATATTGTGCAGCTTGCTGCATAGTGGACATTACAAGTTTATTCCTTAAGTATATAAATACATTAATGCACAGTGAGGGCATTTTATAAAGAGGTTCCTTGTTACCAATTTAGAGACTATACAGCTTTCAACTGGAAAACACTTTTTAATTGTGCATTTACAGTTAGAATAATAAACACTCAAACATCTCTCTGACACTATGAAAGTCCTGTGAATTACATGTCTATATGTTCTTGGCAACATTTATAATCCATGATCAAAATAAAGGCAGTTGGATACAAATTTTCCCTCTGCCTTTAGATAAAACTCCCAAATGAATCTATATTTTTCTGATGAATTTTCTAATGAATAAAATTATATAAGTTTTGCTTAGCTATCTATACTGAACACAAAATCCTGAAACAACGGTTTCAGCAACACTTTAAACATTTCCATTACTGTTTGTCATTAAAGATATTTCTAATCAATTTACACTAAATTTAAAGTACAATATAATTTACATAATACTTAATGCAATGACTTTTTCCATAAAAAGTAGTAAAAGTGACCGTAAAGCTAATATAAATACTAAATACTGTTTTACTAGAGGTTTCTTTTCTGAAATGTGTATTAGTTTTGAAATATGGAGAGTCAAGACAGGTGTTCTGATTTCTATTGACACATCTCTGTTTTAAACACTTACATATCTAATTATCTAGAAAGTTAATACATATTTAAGTACAGTAAAGACTGATCCTTAGTCAATTTGTCAATATGTAGGACACTGACAGGCTACAAAACTACTATGTGCCTCAGAAGACATTCACATGAGCTTCAATTTTTATATGATAATTGAAATTTTCAGAACCTAGTGTTCCATCAGTTAGCAAAGATGAATATATCCAAAGATGATAACAATTTCCAAAAAAATTGCTGGTAAGTGCAGATATCTAGAGAAAGTTTAGCAAGTTCAAGTGATAGAAAATTGCAAGATTAAGAAAATAATTACAAAAAATATATGAAATCAGTTATTGACAGCTTTGTGGAAACTGCTAGTTTTTCATATCTTACCAAATTCCAATCTAAATCCATGGGTGGGAAATAAATATGAAACAGAAAATCACTGTGTAGATTCTTAACTTATTTTCATGTTTCATACTATGCTATTTGTAGCATCTATTAATATTTTGAGTATTTGAGTACTATTTATAATAACTGACAAAGTTATTAATGTGACATCTAAATATATCCCTTATGCTTCTTAAGCCCAGAAACAAAATACATGTTTGCACTTAATAATTAAAGATATTTAAATATATTTTCATTTATTAAATATACATTTTATTAAAATTTTTTGGTCATGTTACTGAAGTATTTTTATTTATTAAGAAAACTGATCATAATATCTAATATTACTTTTTATTAACAGTCATTATAATTATTAGTTCTCAATGACATTAGCTCTCAATGAAGACATGCATGCATACACAGAAGGCAGCATCACTCATTCATTCATTCATTCATCTATTAATCCATTTAACAAATCATTATTGAACATCTATCATATATGGGAATGATATTGCATACAGGAACACCTAGACCCTTATTGCTGCTCTGCCATTGTTGAAAATCTATGAGAAAGAATTGGCAAGTCAGTGTATTATTATCCTGTTGTTACTGGAATGGGGTCCTAATCCAGACCTTATGAGAGGGTTCTCGGACCTTGTGTAAGAAAGAATTCAGGGCAAATCCATACAGTAAAGTGAAAGCAAGCTTATTAGGAAAGTAAAGGAATAAAGAATGGCTACCCCATAGGCAGAGCGGTGGTGTGGGATGCTCAGTTGATTATACTTATAGTTATTTTTTGATTATATGCTAAACAAGTGGGATGAATTATTTATGAGTTCTCTGGAAAAAGTGGGCAATTCCTGGAACTGAGAGTCCCTCCCCCTTTTAGGCCATATAGGGTAACTTCTGGACATTGCCACATAAACTGTCATGGTGCTGGTGGGAGTGTCCGTTAGCATGCTAATGTGTTATAATTAATGTATAATAAGCAGTGAGGATGACCAGAAGTCACTTTCATCACAATCTTGGTTTTGGTGGGCTTTGGCTGGCTTCTTTACTGCAACCTGTTTTATCATCAAGGCCTTTGTGGCTTGTATCTTGGGCCAACCTCCTATCTCATCCTGTGACTTAGAATGCCTAACCTACTGGGAATGAAGCCCAGCAGGTCTCAGCCTTATTTTACTCAGCGCCTATTCAACATGGAGTCTCTCTGGTTCTAATGCCTCTGACACTGTGAGTAAGACTTCTAAGATTGTAACCTTTTCTCTCAAAGATATTGCACTTGTGTGAATAGAAAGTTCATTTATTAGAACATGAATAGAATAAGACATTCCTCTGCAGCCAAATTACATCAACCCTTCAGGACTTAGCTTCCTTCTAAATAATTCCATATTCTGTAAACTTTTACTAAAAATCTATTTACTGGATTCTAATTGCACTTAAAGTTTTCAAGTTAGACAATTGGCATGGATTAAAATAGTGTTAATCTTAGCACAGGCCCTGATATTTAATTATTTCAAAATAAGCTTAACATTCTACTAATTAACTGATAAAATCCACAAATAAAAGCTAGCTGTTTGGAGAGTGAGAAAAGGAATTTTTTAGAAGGAGAAAACAACATCTGAAGACATTAGGCAGAAAAAAATGGGTTGGGTTACTGGAAAACCAAAATAAATCTTATGTAGTAAGGTAATATTTATGAAGAAAATGAATTTTAAAATATGAGGCCATAAAGTCTATCAAAAATCTCTGAAATTATTTTGAATTTATATCAATTTCTAGAGCTTCTATAATAAAGTATTAAAAACTAGGTGGCTTAAAGCCACAGAAATTTATTTTTTTACAGTTCTGGAGGCTAGTTGTCCAAAAGTAAGGTGTGAATGGGCTTCATTTCTTTGGGATCAGATGGAAAGACAATTTGTTCCATGTCTCTCATTTCTGGTGATGACCCCAAAATCCTTGGAGTTCACATGTTCACTTGGCTATCTTCCTACTAAATTTCACTCTCCTTACAAGAACACTTACCATATTTGATTAGGAGTACAGCCTACTCCATTATGACCTCATATTTACCCACATTTCAGATAATTCACATTTAATGCTTCGATTTAGTACCTATCACTGAAGGTAAAACATTGTGGTTCTCATTTTCTGATTATTCAATTAAACACTAATAAAGCTACTAGTCTGGGAGAATTTTGCAGACAGAATGAAAGAATGAAGTATATGATTTAAAAATATGCAGATTATCAGGTTGGGGCTGGCCCAATCAAGGGAACCTTTTTAAAAGCAGAGAATTTTCTCCAGGTACAAGTAAAAGAAGGAGTAAGAGATTCAAAACATGAGGGGCATTCAGTGTGTCACTGTTGACTTTGAAGATGGAAAGGACCACATGTAAGGACTGGAGGTTGGTCTCTTAGAGCTGAGAGTTACCCCCGGGGCAACAGCTAGCAATGAAACAGGGACCTCAAGTCATACAACCACTCGAAAATGAATTCTGCCAACCATAATAAGCGTGGAAGAATTCAACAGTGAAGTCATCAGGTCTTGGACTTTGCATTGATAGGAGGCCTTTTATTACTTATTCGATCTCGTTATTCCTTATTGGTCTGTTCAGATTTTCTCTTCATGATTCAGTCTTGGTAGATTGTAGTGTTCAAAAGTGTATCCATTTCTTTAAAGTTATCCAAATTTTTTTGGCATACAGTTGTTCATAATAGTCTCTTATCGTCTTTTGTATTTCTACGGTGTCAAATGTAATATCTTTTTTTTCGTCTTTCATTTCATCTATTTGAGCCTACTCTTTTTTTTTTTTTTTTTTTTTTAGTCTGGCTAAAGATTTCTTGATTTTATGTTTTTAAAATCCAACTTTCTGTTTTGTTGATCATTTGTATTATTTCTAATCGGTATTTTGTTTATTCCTGTTCTGATCATTATTATTTATTTCCTTCTACTAATTTTAGATTTAGTTCGTTCGTGTTTTTCTAGTTCCTTGAGGTGCAACATTCGATTGTTTATTTGAGATCTTTCTTCTTTTTTGATAAAGACATTTATTGCTATAAACTTCCGTCTGAGAATTGCTTGGGCTGTATCCATAGGTTTTAGTATGTTGTGTTTCCATTTTCCTTTTTCTCTAGGATTTTTCTAATCTCCCTTTTTTTCTGTCTTCTTTTTCTTTCTTTTTTTTTTTTTCTATGAAACCAAGCTCTGTCACCCAGACGAGAGTGCTGTGACATGATCTCAACTCACTACAACTTCTGCTTCCTGGGTTCAAGCAATTCTTGTGCCTCAGCCCCCGGAGTAGCTGAGACTACAAGCGCCGCCCCCACCCACCCCACCTGCCCCACAGATCAGCTAATTTTTTGTATTTTAAGTAGAGAAGGGTTTTCGCCATGTTGGCCAGCCTGGCCTCATGTGATCCACCCGCTTTGGACTCCCAAATTGCTGGGATTACAGGCATGAGCCACTGCGCTTGGCTCTAATCTCCCTCTCAATTTCTTCATTGACCCATTGGTTGTTGAAAACCAAAACTATAAAACTACAAGAAGAAAACATAAACTTCATGGCATTGGCCGGAGCAAGATAAGGCCACAAAAGCACAGTCGACAGAAGTAAAACTAGACAAATGAGATCCCATCAAATGAAAAGCCTTCTGCCCAACAAAGGAAACAATCAAGAGTGAAGAGACAACCTACAGAATGGCAGAAAATATTTGCAAACTATAAATAAGACAAGGGGTTAATATCCAAAATATATAAGGAAGGAAACAACTCAATAGCAAAATAAAAATAATAACAGCAACATTAATAAATAATCTGATGAGGCTGGGTGCGGTGGCTCACATCTGTAATCCCAGCACTTTGGGAGCCGGATGCAGGAGGATCACCTGAGGTCGGGAGTTCAAGACCAGCCTGACCAACATGGAGAAACCCCATCTCTACTAAAAATACAAAATTAGCCTGGCGTGGTGGGGCATGCCTGTAATCCCAGCTACTCGGGAGACTGAGGCTGGAGAATTGCTTGAACCCGGGAGGTGGAGGTTGCGGTGAGTCAAGATCACACCATTGCACTCCAGCCTGGGCAACAAGAGTGGAACTCCATCTCAAAAAAAAAAAAAAAAAAAAAAAAAAAAAAAAAAAAAAACATAAAAATAAATAATCTGATGAAAAAATAGGAAAAAGACCTGAATAGGCATTTCTGAAAAGAAGACATACAGAGATAAGAAAAAATGCTCAGCATCACTAATCATCAGGGAATTGTAAATCAAAACCACAATGAGATATCAACTTACTCCAGTTAGAATGGCTATTATCAAAAAGACAAAAATTTGGCTAGACGTGGTGGCTCATGCCTGTAAGCCCAGCCCTTTGGGAGGCTGAGGCAGGGGGATCACCTGAGTTCGGGAGTTCGACACCAGCCTGACCAACATGGAGAAACCCAGTCTTTACTAAAAATGCAAAATTATCCTGGCATGGTGGCTCATGCCTGTAATCCCAGCTACTCAGGAGGCTGAGGCAGGCGAATCATTGCTTGAACCTGGGAGGCGGAGGTTGCAGTGAGCCGAGATGGGGCTATTGCATCCAACCTGGGCAACAAGAACGAAACTCCATCTCAAAAAAAAAAAAAAAAAAAACCCACAAAATTTTAAGAGTGTTATCAAAATATCATATTATGCCCCATATATATGTACAATTATTATGTGTCAATTCAAAATAAAACAAAACTTCAAAAAAATAACGAGCCTGGAAGAAGATTCTTCCCTAAAAACCTGCAAAATGAAATACAGTCTTGCAAACACTAATTTTTGCTGAGACCTTGAGCAGAGAATCCAGCCCACCATGCTGGATTTCTGACTTATGAAACTATAAGTTGATACATGACTGTTTTTTTGAGCCACTAAGTTTTTGGTCATTTGTTACACAATAATAAACTAATACAAGTGTGGTCTTTGTGTTAGCTTTGTCTTTTTGGGTGATTATTCCTCCTTACAAGATGCATAGCAGCAGTGCCAAGAAGGGAAACATGTTTTAATTTCTTTTTTGTTTCTTTCGCTTGTCCAAGTATGCTCTAACAACTCCTTACAAATTTCTACTCTATAAGATTTTGATGTGCTATACGGTATGTAATACATGGTGTTTGCTCGATTGTTTTTCCCATTCTTTCAAGCTAAAATATAATATTTTTAGCCAGCCTTTTCAGAAAAAAAAAGGTAATTAATCTCAGTTTACTTTCTTGAAACCTCTTTCTCTTTTCATAAATTTTAAAAACTCATTATGCAAATATAATAAATTTCTGTTAAATAAAACTGTTAAGCCAAAGTAGGATTTATGTTTTTCTAAATGTAAGCTTAAGGCTTGATGATTTCCTTTCCTACACTCAAACCCAAGCAGTAATGGAAACACTTGAATTTACTTTTGCAACTGATTTCTCAGAAGATCAATTTCCTTTTTATGACATTTCCTATAGGGCCTCACAAAGATCTATTAAACTGGTCCACGTGTAGAAATACATCTGCTAAGCAGGCCCCGTTTCCACAGCCATCCTTCTTGAAAGTCTCAGCTGAATCAGGTCTATTATTTTTTAAAGCACTCCTTCAACTCACCTTTCAGCTCACACACCCTGTTGAGCACTTTTCCTCTACTAACCCACCAGATTTCTGCGTGTAGCAGACTTACGTGGGCTTTGTCCAGGTGTACACCTCATTTTTAAAACATTCTCAACTAAACTGGCCTTTGATTAATAAAGTAGAGCACTTTTGTAACATCATGCGTAACTTTTTTTTTTCACCTCAACAACTTCTGCTACCAGCACTTCTTGGTGAAGAAGGCATTGTTGTGACTACCTCAGGATGATCTTTTTGTTTAAGAAGATTTAAACCTCTCATGAAGCTAAGTATTGACAGGTCATGATCAGCAGACATGTCAGTACAGTTCTTCTATGACGGACTCTGATTGTAGATAACAGGAAAAACATTGAAAACATCTTGGCCTTTGCTTGTATTAGGTCATTGTTTTCAGCAGAGAAAAAAATAAACCTGGGATTTCACAGTCTTACAAATGCTACAGCATGACATTTACTGAGAATATCTCAGGATGCATCAACCTGATATAGAAGCTGTTTTTTTTTTCAGATAATTACAGAAAACTTATTTACCGTCTTGTGACATGATATTAATATGTCTATTATACTGTCTGAGAGTAGAAAATTTTCAAATCCTCACACCGCACCTCATATTTATTTATAATTTTACATGCTGACATTAGGTTCTCACAAACCCTGTGACTTTTCCTTCTCTGGGAAATAACTTTTACTGCTAAATAACATGCATCCTGAGGCTTTTCACCAATGTGACTTTTAAAATAAAAACTTTATTTAGTTTTCTTTGTGATTTCAATATCCATTTAAAATAATTAGCTCTTTCTAGTGTCAAAAAACAGTGATTTATGATGAAGAATTTTTTCAATTTTATTGGAATATTCCTAAATTTTTTAGTTTTGTTGTCATAGATGACACATGAAGAAGTAGGAAACTTGAATGACTAGCACAGCAAAAGCCCATGAAGACGAAGCCTTCATTGTGACAGCAAGTTTTCTTTGTCGTGTCTCTTGTTACACTTGTGAAATAATTCACAAGATTATAATTATCAGCAACTTTCCTAGAATTATTTATGGGTTCAGACCTATAATCCTCCTTTTTCTCTCATACCTCATCTTCAAGACCACTACACTGGCTGGGTATGGTGGCTTATGCTTGTAATCCCAACACTTTGGGAGGCTGAAGCAGGAGGGTTGCATGAGGCCAGGAGTTTGAGACCAGCCTGGGCAACATAGCAAGACCCTGTCTCTAAGAAAAAAAAAAATAAGTAGAGCATGGTAGCCCACGCCTATAGTCGTAGCTACTCCTGAGGCTTAGGCAAGAGGAGTGCTTGAGCCCAGGTGTGTGGGGCTGCAACGAGCCATGATCATGCCACTGCCCTCCAGCCTGGGTGAAAGAGCAAGACCTTGTCTCTAAAAATTAAAAATAAACAAAAACAACAAAAATAAATAAATACTACACTGGACTCTCAGACATCTTTATTTTTTAAAAAGGCTAATAAAATATAAAACAGAGGGTATAATAAATAGGTAAAAATTTTTAAAAGTAAAATATAGAAACTTCACAAAACAATTTACTTCCAACCTACATAATCAAGATTATGCAATGTTTATAGCAATAACAAAGTGTAAATGAGGAAAGCTGTTGTGGCATCTAAAAATGCTTTCTTCTGGATTACATTTTCCCTCTGATTTTCTTTTATAGTGATAGGGCATATTCACTCCTGTAATTTTCCTAAGTCAATTGATGGTGCATAACAGGAGGTTAGGGTGGATGATTTGGGAGGGAGAGTCAGATGACATCAGCCTCCTCTCCTCTCTGTCTTATTAACCCCTAACTATTACAAGCAGTCTCACCCATGTGTCCTCAAAAACTGAGAACAAGCACAACCACATTAGTACAGTGCTTTTGCACACTGCTCTATAAAAATGAATAAATCTGACAATAAGACTCTTGCATTACTATCCACTACCATGAGTTTACAAAGTACAAAAACTTTTTTTTGTATTATGGTTATGTATACCGCCTATAACAACATCTCTTCTAATCCAGAAACCCAAATTAGGAAACCTTATTATATATCTACATTGATTAATATCAATTATTTATTATGGCATCCTTTACTAATAATATTTATGTTATTTGGTTTTAGTTTAAATATAAATGTTCACTCTTTGAGCATATCATTTCAGTGCTGAAATAGAGATATAAGTCATAAAAACTTTATGTGTAAAATAATCTGTTCTATGAGTTGTCCAGTAACTACACATAATGATTTAGAACCAAGACACATAAGCCTCTAATCATATTGACAATGATGTTGGGAAACTCATATCTGTATGGATTCTATTCCACAAATCAAGTAAGAGGAAAGAACGGTTATATTAGATCAGCAGCTTCATCAAGATTGTTTCCACTTCAATGTATGCTATTCCTGAGTTTCAGCAGTACAAGCAGACCTTCAATAACAGAACCTCCTTTATTATTTTTGTCATAAATTCTTATTTTTTTCTTCTTTCTTACGACTTGGAAAGTTATTCAGACATTTTATGAGATAAGGTTTTATGACACGCTATACTGTACATATCATTACAACTAAATCTTATTTTACTGTCCTTCTCGAAAAGTGAAACCACAAACTGTGACTAGATTAATCAAATCACAGCAATGCTCCCTATTCTAGTGAAGCTATAGTTGAGCTGAAGATATCAAAACTTCACTAAATCACCATACAGATACTGTAGCGCAAATATCAAGGCAGAATTTATTTGTAGTTGTAAACTCCAACTCCATCTTCTACACTAGTCATCTTGTTCATTACTAGCTAGTTTTCAAGGTCATGGTGGTGGTGAATAGTGTTCTGAATCTTGCAAATGTTCTTACTACTTACTGAGACTAAGTTTTGTGGATGTGATGAAACTGAAATAAAATAACATGCAAATCAATATGAGTAATTGTCAAAGTGGTACTCTACAATTAATCAAACCTACTGAAAGTTTAGGTTATATCTGTATTTTTATTTGTGTTTTCTAAGTTTCTAATATTGAGACAATTATACTATATGACTTGCTTTAGAAATTATCTCCTTTTTTTCTCAATCTGATCACTTATAGGAATCATGAGGAAAAATTAAAACAAACAAGTGAATAAATATATAATTGTCAAAGCCACTCCAATACAACAGATCAACAGAATGTACTCTCTAAGACAGAGAACCAAACATGGATTTTATAAAGATCCACAAGTGATTATGAAGCATAGAGCTGAAAATCTCTAAACCAATAATATAAACATTTAAATCTCATCTTAGTACAATTAGCAAATAAGCTATACTCATGGTAATTTTGTCAGAGTTAGTGGTGGCTGTGATGAGTCATTCATTCATTCATTCATTCAGGAATTCATGCACAAAATTGTTATTAAATGACTATTGCATACATTATATTCTAGGAAATCGAAATGCAAGAATAAATTAGGCATGGTTCCAACACTCAAGGAGTTCACTGTGTTATGGAAGCCAAGAACATTAAAAAATTATAATGCAATGTGGCAAATACAATGACAGAAGTATTGGAATGCAAAAAGATAAAAATTCAATGTGATAAATGCAATCACAGGCTATATCAAGAGAGTAGACAGGAAGGATGTTTAAATGTATTTTGAGATGTTATGGTAGAAAGACATAGCACTTAAGTCTTGAAATAAGATTTACACTTTAGAAGAAGGAATAGCAAACACAAAGGCATAGGAGAGTAAGAGCTAGATATTATTGAATGATAAAGAGTTGCTTACAAAATATAAAAGATAAGTCTGGAAATATAAAGCCTTAGGCATCAAGCTGGAGAGTTTCAACTTCATTGACTAGGCCAATGATTACAACAATTTGAATAAAGTAAAAGCAAATAAAAAGAGAAAATAAAGTAAAAAAAAAAAAAGGAAGACAGTAGAAATGAAAAAAAGATGAGAGAAACCCTCTAAGACAGTCAGTTACGTAGTTTTGCAAATAAGATTAGAAAACAATAAGTCTTTATTAGTATCATTATTTCAAAACCATGAAGTGATTTTAGAACCACAGTAATATAAAATCATGTAAAAACATGGGATACTTCAATAAATTGAACACCTTTAGTTTTATGCACAATTTGTGACAATGTTCTTTTTGTTCTCTTCTGTCTCAAGACAAGTAAAAACTTCATCAGGGTTTTGGGAATCACTTGGGGGACTTGAAAAGTTTTAATTCTGGGACAAAATTAAATTTTATTTTTATCAAATCAATTCTATCATAGTGGAAGGAAATGTGGTGGGGGACAAGATTATTTCTTTTCCCATAAATTGTTAAGATTGCATTTGGGTCAAGTTTGCTATTCTAAAATTTTTAACTGCTTTTAGCCAGAAGGTATAATTTAAAGTATCAACTTTTAGAACCAAATTGTTTGCATCAGGTTCATTAATTTGCCATCTTCTTCACAGGGGCAAATCTCTCTGTTTTCAAATCATTAACAGTGTAACAGCAATCACATCAAAAGGTACTTTTTTAGAAAAATAAAACTAATCACTACGCATTAGCATGCTTACAACGTTCAGTTAAGTGCATAAGAATAAATATATTTGTATAAAAAAATCAAAATTAGCCCTAACTTCTTTCACTGTAAACCAGAATAAGAAAGATTATTGTTTTTACCCTCTGTAGATTTTTAAAAATATATTAGCAAGCTTACTTAATGGGAAATTACTTAATATTTCTGATGCTACTAAACAAAAAATGAATCCTTGGCTTTTATGCTATAGTGGTGAAATATCTTTGACTGTTCTATATGGTTCTTTTCCACAGATCTAATTACTTAAGGAGAGCAGAGCATAAGGATTGAAGGTTAACATGCAATGACCCAGTTTTGTGCTTCTTATAGAATTGTCCAAAGTAAGGTATAGTATAAAATTATAAACAACCTATGTGGAATTAATAATATAAATAATTGCTCTACATATGAAGTGCTTTGATTTATGTCAACCTCTTACCAATAATAAATACTTTATTATAATTTTTTCACCTTATCAATGAGTATAATATAAAATAACTAGTATATGGAAAATTAGCATAGTCAATATGATGGAAATCTTAATGTTAAAATATATGGTTAGTCTCTTTTAGCTCATATTTGACTTTTTCAGTATTTTGCAATTAACAGTATATAAGGAAAATATTTCAAAGAAAATCTTAACGTTCTACATCTATTTTTTTCTAGTTACAAATAGGGTGGATTTCACCTGATTGCAAAATAGCAACAACTTTATCATCCATAAAAGTGGATTACATTCACACTTTTGAATAGTATTTTACTTACAGTTAGTTATAAAACACATAGGTCAATATAAGTGAAGTAAAAATTTCTGATGACTTCAATTCTAGAATTTCCAACACATTCTTTGATTTTTAAGTTGGTTGTTGGAAATACTGTTTCTCTATATACATTTTATAGGTCTTAATTATTTTACTTAATACTTTATATTTCTATCTTTATTTCTACTTAATAAAAATATAAGCTGTAAAGATTCAGTCAAGCTAAGCACTCATCCACAGGAATAAAATATTGTATGATATTAGCTATATATAACCATGAGCAGAGAGAGGAAATATTTTTCAACCATTTCTCTTAATTCCTCTGGCTAAGAGTGAGAAATAGCTCCTCAATTGCCAGTGAGTTATAACATCCAAATTTGCCAAAGAGCTCTTGGTGGAGAGTTAGTGTCAAATGATCCCTCTCCCTTTTTAGAAATGTACTTAGGGTGACTTGGTTCCTTTTTTCTTTTAATTTGCACTAAACCTTTAGGAATAATTATTATCCTAGTCAACTACTCAACTCCATAATCTCAAGTAATATAAATATTCATATATCACTTATAGTAAGTATTAATGTTTTATATATTAAATATGGTTATATATTATATTAGTGTTTATAGGTATACAGGTATTATATAACATATAGATACATATGTATTTAATGTGATTAAACTGAGTTTTATGCTTTATTATAATGTGCATTTAAAGTGTAATTAAAATGATAATGACCAATTTTTAAATATAAAGTGTATATTTTGGCATCTGGATAACTCGTCAATCTCCTCAATTAAGATGTTGTTAAATATTGAAAGTTGAACAAAAGTAAATCATATCTGCAAACTATAACTAGTGCAACCACAAAAGAAAATTGTCCTTAGCTTGGGCTGCTATAACAAAATGTCATATACTGGGTGACTAAAACAACAACATTTGTTTCTCATAGTATAGAGCCTGGGGAGCCCAAGAAGGACAGGCTGATTCAGTTCCTGGTGAGAGCCCTCTTCCTGGAGCTTGCAGATAGCTGTCTTCTGTGTCCTGACATAGTGGAAAGAGAGCAAGTTCTGGTCTTCCACCTTCTTCCTACAGAGAAGATCCCAGCATGGAGTCACTGCCCTTATGATCTAACTGAAATCTAATTACCTCCCAAAGGCCTCACTTCCAAATACCCTCACATTGGGGAACACGGATTCAACATATAAATTTGGGGAGGATACAAACTTTCAGCCCATAATGAGAATCTTTAGACAAACTTAATCTAATTATATGGTGTTCTTTTACTGGAAAAGCTGAGCTGCTCAAAGATAAGACAGAAATCATATAAACTAGGATTTCATTATTTTTCCTGGAAAATTGTAAATTAACAAAAAACATATGCCCTATGCCACTGACCATATTCTAAATCTAGCAGTTTAATATTTGCATTAGTGAGAATTTCCAGATCAGATTTCTCAGATGAATTAAAATCCTGACTTGTAAAGCAGAATACCAAGAAAAACATGCATTTAAAATTTGAAGTGATGATGGGAGATATTTTAATGATACACATTGTAAAAATATTCACTTCACATGTTGGGATTTTTTTACATGCAACTCTTTTTTAGAATCCGTATTCATGTGTGATTCTTTGGTCATAACACTCAGTGACAAAAAGCAGGTTACCATATTTGACCATAATAATAATTTACAGAAACAGACTCCTTAAAATAATGGTGAATTATTTTGCAACAGGGCAAAAATGAATATTCACGTCTTTTCTACTAACTCCTGCCCATAGTAAAACTTTTTATATTAGCCTACTTGCTAAATAAGGAAATATGGAAAACAGTGAAGAAAAGAAAGAGAAAAGCCAGATGAGGCTGAACTGAAAGAAGAATTTAAGAATTTGACAATTAAGGTCCTTAGGAATAACTACAGAGGACATAGAAATTGGGAAGGGAAAAGGTTTTCAAGGAATGTTACGGGTGTAATGAATAGGATTAGTATTCTTTGAGAGACTTAAGTACAAATGAAATTCCATTTAAATTATTTTAGCTGTAAATGTGTATCTGTGCAGAAATTAATCCACGCAATAAAAACCCTTGCTGGTAAATGGTTTCTTTGGAAATAATTTCCATCTTCTACCTCCCCACTTTGGGACCAAAGGTGTTATAGTCACCATTATTTCTGATTTAAAATGTTTTTGGAATAACATCAAAAGATGGCTCTTGAATAGCATGAAAAAGCCAAACAGATAATGTAGAAAATATTCTGATATTGGATTTGCAAATTTGGGAATAATTGAGTATTAGAAATTGTATATACTAAGTACAAAGTAAAAGCTATGTACAGTATAATAAAAAAACTTTTCTAAACTGTCATCATCTAAAACAATCCTGCTAAAAATGCAAAATGAAAATCAGTTTTTACCAACTTATAAGGACCCTATATTATTTAAAAACTGTGATTATTTGGGGATAGTGAGCAAAATCAATATCAGGATTTGTTACATTAGTTCAAAACTATGCCTGCTCTACAATCAAACCAAATAGTCTTATCCTTCAGGGATTAAATCAGCTGGTACAAACTAGTTGCAATTAGTAACTTGGTAGTTTTTTTCTTTTTCTCAGTATGCACATTGTCATGAACTGAAGAAAATGATTTTAATCATGGTAGGAATTTGGCATGTTCAGAAATGAGCTATTTTTCAAATGTAAACCTGCAATATTGCTTCCAGGGGTTGTCCTTGGACCCAGTTACAAGCACTGATGTTCTTGCAGACAACTGCTTCACAGCCATGGGATACATTTAGGGCAAAGCAGATACTGAATGGGATTGTAATTTCAAACTACGTATAATTAACTAGAGCAGCGTGCACATGTTACACAATAACTAAGCAAGACATCTGTTTGTCTGTTGATGGACTCACATAGAAAGTTCAAAAGAGCTCAAATGAGTAAGTAGGAACAAGTAATAATAGCGTATTTAACCACTACCCAGAACTCCATGAATTACTTGTTCGTGCAAAAATTATTGTGGTTTTGCTATTGAAAGTAATGGCAAAAACCGCAATTACTTTTGTACCAACCTAATGTTTCTGTTGGCAAAGTTAATCACGGTTGAAGAGGAAAAGAAGGCAACTCTAGTAATCCATCAAGCATGCGACAAATAATGAAGTCCACACTCCAAACTCAGGAGTAGACTGGGACAGTCAGTGAGGTAACAGAGTTTGGGAATCGAAATCTCAACAAGAAAATCCAGGTGGATAGGTATAGGGAAATTCTAGTTTGAATGCTCTAAAAATTACAAAATACTCCTATATTTGGATATCTAGAGGTGGCGGTTTTGGCTTTGTTTTAGCAAAAATAAAGTACCTAACTTTTCCTGTGCACACAATTATCCAAGCAATTATCACAAATCCTTGCTTTCCAGAAGAATGGGCTGAAGGCTGACGTTTGTGTTTATTTTCCAGAAAGTTGCACATTTCTAGCCTCAACCTTGAAAGAAATGGACCCAATAAGCCCAAGCAAGCCTGACATGGCAGCAAGCACTGAGAAATTAGAAAAAAAAAAAAAAAAAAAAAAAAAAAAAAGGGCAAACTCCCTGCGGTATCAGAAGAGAAACCAGAAGATCTTGGATTGTTAATAGGAGTCCCCAATCATTGGTAATAAAAGTGTGATGATAAATTTGTTTTTGTTTTAAAACACATGTTAGTGTTTGCAATCTTTCTACCCCTCTATTTTCTTCCTTGATACCTTGTAACAACACCTCAACCATTTGAAAGATGTGAATAAATATAGATATGATTTCATAAAGCAGATAAGCCACATGTCCTTGTCTGGAATTATAAAAGTAACAATTTTATATCTAAATAAGGTAATAAACACATAAGAATTTTCTAGATGGTTCAAGCTTTATCCTATAAACAGACCTTATGGAAGTGATTCAATGAAGCTATTTTCTTGCCACCTGTATTGGTCAGAGTCCAATCAGGGAGCAAAGCATACCGTACTTTAGACAGGGAAAGTTTAATATAAAGATTCATTAACTTTAACTAGGAATTGAAATAATGGGAAGTTGGCTAGTAATAAGTAAAAAGAAATACAAGAATAGCATATATAAGAAGCAACCACTAATCCTAGGTCTGAGACAGAGTGCCCAAGCAGGAGGGTCCTGCCCCCACCCAAGGCTTAAAGACCTTATTAGAGAAGGTGCAGACATAGATAACTAGGTGGTGGGGAAGTTGCTCAGGTGCTGTGATGCAAAACTCTGAGATTCCGTGGAAGCCATCCACAGAGAGATGCTATATCTAGGTTCTTGTTAGAAAGCCATAGAGTGAATGCTGTGGTTGAGTGTCATTCTGACGTAAAGCTGTAGAGGAACTACAGGGGCAGCTGTGGCTCTCCATGCACTGCAAGAGCCTGATGTTGGAGAAGGCATTTTCCCTACCTCTCGGGAGGCTGGTAATAGAACCATGCCAGAAAACACAAAACAACCAAACAAAACAAAACAAAACAAAAATTCTTCATTGTCCAACACCCTCCACTGACAAACCTTAACATTGTCCAGTTGACCAAAAAAAAAAAATGTTTATAAAGCCTGTCTCCATTATTTCAAGACAGGCAATCAAGGGTGAACTTAGAGCCAAGAGGCAATAAGTAGACAGTTGCCACAATGTCCCATCTTCAACCAAAAGCTCTTCTTTCACAAGGCTTTATTATTACTTTACTCTGTTTCAAACTTTCAGCTCCTTGTATGCAAATTTCTCACATTCATTGAGCATGTGTTTTTAGAACTTTGTACAATTTAATAGCATTCTTGTATTTGTATTTTTGGTGTGCTCATAGTCTGACTTTCTAATAATTTTTGTTTCTGCTTCGACTCCCAGCACTTTTCAGACTGTACTAAATGTGGTAAGCACCAGATTCTTTTCATTTTTCCCCAGTCATATTCTTAAGAGAGAAAACAGTGGACCAAGAATAATCCTGTTTAGAAAAAATTTTGAGTAATGGATAAATTCCTAACCAATTAAGTGGCTTATGAATTGAATTTTAAATATTATGTTCTTGGGCTCACTACAATCAGTTTGGGGCTGCAGAAGAAAGCAGAGATTGTACACAGCAGTATCAGTGGAACAGTGTATTGAAGGTGATCAATATAAAAATGTATTTTTTTCTGTGTGATACATCATACCTGAATAGTCTATATCAGTTTGGGGTGAGTATGAATCTAAAGACTGCTCAGGTAGCCCTTTGTAGCTAGGAGAATAGTGGAGAATATCTTAGCAATCTTAGTTTTAAAAAATAAGTTCATGGTCTGTGTGCTAAAACTATATCAGTTTTGTAATGTGCTATGTTGTGCCCTAAACATTAAAAGTTTATTTTTATTTATTTATTTATTTTTTTTTTTTCGTGGCAATTTGAACACCCAGTCCTGGGAGTTAGAAGATCTGACTTCAAAGTTGTTTGTTCAAACTCCTTTTGTTGCCTACTAAAATTAGAAACTTTTGCTTGAGTAAAAAGTATTGATTTACAAGGACATATATGCAATACAATCATTCAATTTGTAAAAAGAATTGAGAAATAAAAAAATTTGGGTGGAAAGTTTGTAATCCATTTTAAAGGTGTAGAATTAAATACTTTTAATAACTAAAGAAATCTCATATTTAAAATTTAAATGATTTTCAAATGGTTGTCAGGAAATAAAAGCATCTTAATTTAAAAAATAAGTGTAAAATTAAGATAAAAGACACTTGAAAAGTCAGAAATATACAAAACTAAAATGATTCAATTTTACTTTAAAAAGTTCCATGTGTAACTTTCTGCTTCAATTAACATTTGGTGTTGGGGAAAGTTCAAGCCATGATGGTTGATGTTATATTTGACTCTCTGAGGTCAAACACTAAACAGAGAAAGAGCTAGAAATGTAAACAACATAAACAGGCTCAGGAGAAGAAATTCTCTGCTTTCAATCCCTTGTATTTTATTTGACGCATGTTGTGATGCATGATACAATCCATATGAATTCTCAGAAGCAGTGCAAATCTTTTAAAATTTACAGTTTTTTCCTTAATCATAAGCTACACCTTCCCCTATTTTATTTTCAAAGCTGAAAAACTAACTACACCCCATAGTATATCTTACATAGTATATTTTCTCTAACATGTACGGTTGGTTATAAACAAAGGAAACTTATTCTGGCAATTTTGAATAAAGCTGAAATTCATTTTAAGGACCTCAGGCGAATGAAATAATTAAACAGAAACTTTAAAACCCAGCTCCAGAAAAGACATGAACCAGAACTGAAGTGTTTTAGTATCTAAGGATGAATAAAGCACAATATGGCCTTATGCAATGTGAAAAAAAATGAGGTATTTCTGCAAGAGAGATTTTAGTGTGTTTTTCCAAAGGAAATGTGAATGTATACTGGGTGACTGAAAAGCAATAAATATCTACTGCAGTCTACACATACACATGTTCAACTATTCTAAAATTATCAATATGTAATTGTGAGACACTGCCTAGGAGAGCAATTTTATAAATGTGCAAGCTTAGCCTTTCATCATGACTTACAAATTAGTGCAACATTCTATTACCTTAGTTCCAGATTGGTTTATGAACAGTTACTGATAATTTTACTGCTTATTTCATATCTTTTCTTTTTTAATTTGACAGACTTCTTATGTTTATGTCATCTTTTCTTCCTGCTGTTTTATATGTCATTGGGAGCTAATGAAAATGACCTAATCCACTAATTGATACACATGATATCTGATAAAATACTGCATTTGAATTCAGCACTGTGGTTTATCCTTTCAACAAATGTTTATTAAATGTCTTGTATATATTAGCCACCATTATAGTGAACAAAAAAATGAAAATTCCTTTTGTTATTAATGAAAAGACATTTTGGTGTAATGACAGCTTTCCCAGAATATGTTGATTTATTTATTTCACAGTCAGTAAGCTACAAATGCCCTCAATATCTATTAAATACCCTCAATATCTATTAAAAATTATACCTACTCAATTTTTTGGTAAACTTCACCACTTAAGTTTATGTTATAGTGTGCATCAGTTGACAAAGACTTTGTAAGAGTATCTCAATTTGAAGACCTCTGGACTGAGTGGAATGATCTGGTTTCTACTTTGGGGACAACTAGATACAAGTTACTGTCTTCTCAGATCTATCTAGGTGAACATATTGCAAACCTCATTTGTCATGTGATATCTCTTCTTTTTACACTGGAACCTGTATTGTTTTCCCCAGTTCAGATATGTGAAATGATTGAACAGACTTCACAGAATATACTCAGATAAGGCTTTGTTTTGTAGAAACGTAAGATATGTGCATTAAGAGAAAGAGGATACCTGCATGCATCAGGTATCCAAGAGGCATTCCATATACCTGGAGTGTACTTAATCTGCCTTGAACAGCCAAGATGTGTGCAAAGAAAGACAAATACAAGATCCTTTCTTATTTTGGATTGAAATTAATTTTATTGAACTTGTATTTATTTGAATCAATAAATACGTAACTTATACTACCCAGATTCTAGGGCATAACTGAGCTCATTTTACTTTCCCTATACTGTATATTTTTAAAATTATATTTTCACTACAGGTTACCTGGGCTATAAAATTGGAAGTCATCCTCAACTCCTCTTTTTATTTTACACACCACATTAAATACACAGTAATGTTGTGGGCTCTACCTGTTTCCACTCTTACTTCCAGTGGTCAATATTTAACAAAGAAGCCAGAGGGATCTTTTTAAATTGTCAATCAGTTCATTCCTCCAAAACTATCCAATAGCTCCACATTTAGCTTAGAGTGAAATTCAAAGTCCTTAGCAATGCCTGGCAAGGCTGTACTTAATGTGGTCCGTCCTTGCCTTTCTGATTTACTTTTCTATTTCTCCCCTAAATGATCCAGCCACATTGTACTAATATGGCAGATGTGTTCTTCTCTTGGCATATTTTTACTGTCCGAGCCTTCTTCCTGCTGTGTGTTGCCCTTGAGATATCCACAGGGCTTACTGTCTTACCCTGTGCTCAAATGTCATTTCCTTAATGAGTCTTTCCTGGTCTATGCTATTTAAAAATTTTCAACATGCCTCTCCTTCTGAAGTAGCCTGCCTCATTCCCCTTATCCTGCTCTACTTTCTCTTTCCGCCTCCACCTCCCACAAAACTTAATCATCATTAAATATAATCTAATTTACAAATTGCTATTTAAATACATTTCTTGGCTCTCCCTCCCCATGAGAACATAAGGTCCATGACACCAAGAATTTATGCATTTTTTCCCACTGATATAACACAAGTGCCAAGCACAAAAGTAGGCTTTTGATAATATGTATAGAGTAAGCTAATGCAAGTGTTTTCATGAAAGAAGTTGTCTTGCCTTATTTTATCTCTTCTTTATGTATTGTTGGTTTTTAGTGAAATATATATAGTTAACAGATTACTAATTCGTTTTGAAATCTAAAAGAGAAATTTAAGAAGAATCTAAAATGTACCATTCGTTTCTTATTCATCTGACAGATATTTAGATATCTACAATATACCAAGTCTGAAGCTAGGTGGTTACAGAAAGGCAGCTCTTCTGTATTCTCAGAGAAAGTAATTATACAGGTGGTTACAATAAAGTATAGTTAGGGCTATGATACAAACATACTGTATTTTCAATTTTCCTCAAAGTGCTCACTTTGTTTTTTAGTTCTTAGCTTAGTAATAGAAAAGCAAATATAGCATCATCTTCATACTGTACACTGTATTATAAATAGTAAAACATATAAACAATATATGTTTATATGACAACATATATATGACTCCATTAGTGGTAATGGCAGCAAGTAACATATACCCTCTTCAAAGCATCATCATGCACCAAGAATATACTGTGAGTTGAAGTTCTTTGGAGGTACATTTTTATTACAATACTTTACTATGCATAAAACAACACCTAATGAGAATTCTTCCTTTTAAATTACAAGCCTATTTCACTGAAAAAGTATTTTTAATGCTAAGTATATATTATTAATGGAGCATAACACTCTATTTCATCTTTTTAAAATATTTTGAAAAGTGTTGTAGGTTTCTTTTAAATATTTAGTCCTGTTTGGGTTTTTCTTGCCCAGGGGGTGCCCTTGCTCTTTGCTGACTCCACTGCCTGGGGAAGCAGGATGAGCTCATTTCCTTTGTACCAAAATTGAAAGCTCACTGCCTCTTGGTTCGAGAGTGCCTTACTGCTCATCAGGCATTATATTATCTTGCCAAGCACCACAGGAGAGTTATCATGGGGATATTGCTGATTGCTAGACTGCACTTAGAACTGATAAATATGCAGATGTGTAGAATATTAAATGACTTTATTAGCAATCAACATATTATGCCATTGAGTTCATCTGTATGATCAAAAATTCATAAAAATTAATCTAATATTTAAAAAATCTTCTTATTCTTTTAAATAGATTTACATTTGGGTTAAAAGATGACTAAAATTAATCAACAAATACTCTTTCCTATTGTTATTCACTTTTGAATAAATGAGTATCAGTAATTTAAAGTGAAAGCAGTTTCATAAGCTGAGTAGAAAAAGTTTGCCACAAATAGAAATGTTTCAGTTCAATAAAACTGACAATCTAAAAGATATTTAAAAAGTGTCAAAATTGAAGTCTTTATCCAGAGAAGTAAAAATGAGAAAAGTGGGTATCATTTTTCTATTAGATTATTAGAAATTTAGGTTATGTGTTATAAAATTAAGCTGCCCCTTTCTTAAAGTTTTTTTTTTTTGGAACATATCTGAATGATTACAACATCAATATTTTTATTTTTATGTATATATCCTGATTTACTAAACTTATTGACTTCAGATGATTAAATGTCCTAAAAGCTTTATAGTATACTTTTGTTATTTTACTGTCAGTATCTATGGTAATGTGAAAGTTTAAAAAATATAAGCAAAATTTACCCCATTGCATTTCAGAAGGACTGGTGCTTACAGGATGTCTATGAGAAATGATAGAAAACATGAGAAAAAAATGGGAGCAAACTCAAATCTCAGATAGATGTGACATGTTTTGATGTGGAATCTAGAATGGAATTAATATGTTGGGTTATTAGCCACTTAAATTTGTGTATCAGTCTGTTGAACATTAACTGACAATCAATCAATGAATATATACCAATATGCAACAATATGCTCATACGTTAATTTTATTGTCAATCTCCTTGGATATCTACACCCATGACAACCCACTGGATCCTATTACCTTTAAAATTATTTCTTTTCTAAGAGCTTAAAATCAAGTTTTCTACCATGCATAGCAGTCTTGTATTTTCCTAATGTCCTCCTCCACAGTCTGTCTCTACTGTCTTTTTTTCTACTAATTGAGACTTTAAATCCTTAGTTTTTTTTAATCTAATCTATCAAACTCCACTTCGATTTTGGCCTTCACTTTCAAATCTATCCTCAGAATGCATCATTGTACGTCTTTTCTTGCTAATACTCTTGTTTTCTCACCGGATTACCCTCACCCAGCAAGTACATAACTTCAATGTCCAAATGGGTTTACCCCAATAACCATTCTATTACTGGACCTGACCTATAGAGTGCTACTTCTGTATAAGTCACACAGCTGCTAGATTGACCCAATATAACTCCATGAATTCAAACTTAGAGTGTGCTTTTCACTCCACATAGATACGGAGTTATGCTTTCTGCTTCTATTGTCTTTCTAACTTCAGTTTGACTTTTTCTAAATTTCTTTACTGTCTCCACAATTTCATACCTTCCATCCAAGTCTTTTCTTAGAGGTTGAAATCATCTTTTGTTTTACAGACAATGTTGAAAGTTATCTAACAGGTTCACACTCAGTATATAGCACCCACAAAATAAAATTGTATTTCATGGCAGGGCGCGGTGGCTCACGCCTGTAATCCCAGCACTTTGGGAAGCCGAGGCAGTCAGATCACGAGGTCAGGAGATCGAGACCATCCTGGCTGACACGGTGAAACCCCATCTCTACTAAAAATACCAAAAAAAAATTAGCCGGGTGTGGTGGCGGGTGCCTTTAGTCCCAGCTACTCGGGAGGCTGAGGCAGCAGAATGGCATGAACCCTGGAGGTGGAGCTTGCAGTGAGCCGAGATCGCGCCACTGCACTCCAGTCTGGCTGACAGAGCAAGACCCTGCCTCAAAAAAAAAAAAAAAAAAATTGTATTTCATTTATCCCAACAGTCTTCATCCATCCATTAGAAGAATGCCATTTCCTTCAAAGGTTCTTGCACTCATGTTTGTAATCTCGTGCTTTCCCAAGTCCTCAGGATCCTTGAGGAATGGCTTATCACATCTTTACTAAATTTTCAACCCTTTTGTTTTGCATGCCTCATGCAATTCAACATGTTTTTAAAAATTAAGTATTATTTATTGTGTATTTCCCTCTCAAGGTATGCGCTTTCTTTTTCTACAGACATAGTTCTTAAAAGAAAAATGAATCATTGCCTTATAAGCCAATAAAATTTGAATGTATATATATCTAGTGTATAGTTGCATGTATGTGTTTGTTTAAAATTAAATTGAAATTAATTTTTAGCAGCGAGATAAGTGCAAGATGGTTCTCTGTTCCCAAGACATTTTTACAAAAGTGTGAAAAAGCAAACATTATTATTTTAAAATGTAAGAAAATACGAATTTGTAATTTGAAATTGAATTGCTATATAAATAAAATTATAGAAATCTTAATGAAAACTAAAGTACTCAAGAAAGACTATATCTTTAAAAAAAATTACAAATTTTTACAGTGAGTTTATACATAACTGACTTCTTTCAAAAATAAAGACAAGCAACATACAAATATAATACCTAATAAAATAATATAGAAATAAAATATAGATTTAAAACAGTCAGGAAAAGCAAATGAGGCAGCCAGGTGGAAGGGGACCCCTGGAAAAACTCCAACTGGCCTGCTCACTGGGGTGGAGCCTCTGGAAGTTCATGCCCTCTGCAGCTGGGAGGAGCCTGGCCCCTCCTTTTCCTGTGTGGAACATGGGATTTTTTTTTTTTTTTTTTTTTTGAGATGGAGTTTCACTTTTGTTGCCCAGGTTGGAGTGCAGTGGCTCCATCTTGGCTCACTGCGACCTCCACCTTCTGGTTTCAAGCAATTCTTCAGCCTCAGCCTCCCAAGTAGCTGGGATTACAGGTGCCCACCACCACACCCGGCTAATTTTTATATTTTATTAGAGAAGGAGTTTCATCATGTTGGCGAGGCTGGTCTTGAACTCCTGACCTCGTGATCCGCCTGCCTCGGCCTCCTAAATGCTGGGATTACAGGTGTGAGCCAGGCGGGAAGTGCCCTTTCAGGGACTCTGGACTTGTGACAGTCCCTGTTTCCCCGTTTCCTTCCTTTTCACCCAATAAAACCCTGCCTTACTCACCATTCAAATTAACTTCAAGCCTGAATTTTTGTGGATGTCTATCTTTAGCTGAACTAAGGACAAAGGACCCCCATCTTTAGCTGAACTAAGGAAAAGTCCTGCAACATTTTTGGTGCTCAACATAGGGCTCCAGAAGCGGTGAGTGAAATGGGGACTCAAAATCTCTCACTGTCGTTTTTCATCCTCAGACTTCTAAGCTTATGGAAAACTGCACCCCCACCTCCTGTTGCTCGGAGGGGTTGGGGACCAACCCAGCCTTTCTATGATCTTTTCTTTCCTTTCTTGGGACAGACTGGTGAGCAGTGGCTCCCCTCTGCCCTCCCTTCCCTGCATGGCCCAAGGGTCTTGCATAGCCATCTGCCTGGTGTTTTTCGCCACAGGCCGCTGGAGCCTTCACTTCCCCTTCCCCAGCCAAGGGGCTTTACTCCATTGGACAGTATTAAGCTATTCTCCAGGTAGAGGAACCAGTTGTATAAGAGTAAGAGGTTCTTCCCCAGCCATTTTTAAACCTTTTTTCTTTCCTCTTCTCCACCCCATCAGCAGTTAACTTTATGCAAGTTTTTTTTTTATTTGATTTGATTTGATTTTAGAAAAAGTTTTACTAGGCCAGGCCCCCCAGCTATCACTGTTTATATTCTCTATAAGGCTTTAATTATGAAAAAGGATTTGTGGGGCTGGTCTTGGGCTTTGACCAATCTGGTGTGCTTTGGATGTCTGTATGGTTTCCAGCAAACTTCTAAGCCTCCATCTTGTTTTGCATCCCGAGGCCATGTCTTGTAACTCTGGTGGCAAGTCTTCATTTAGCAATTCTGACTTAGGGAATAAGTTCCTTTCCTGTTTGATACCTGCATATTCTCCTAGCCCTGTCTCTTATAGAACCCCACAGGGGGACTGCATTTTCTCCTTCCTGTCTGTGTGTATGCTGTGTGTAATGTCTGTAAAAAGAGCTCTAATTAATTTGGCCTAAAAAAAGACAAGCACTTGGATCTAATATTTTTTAAAGGAAAGATAAAATTTGTGGTACCTTTCAGTTCACGTGAGTTTAATCTTTGAGAAATAAAAATGGCCTTAAAGGTTATTGGTAAAAAGCAGGTGTACTTAAGATGTAAATACATGGGCTAAATTTGGCAGGTCAGATGCAAGATATGCTAAATATTTGGAGGTTACAAACTGCTTTTGGGGTTTTGATAACTATTTTACTGGCCAGCTTCACAACTGGTAAGGCCTGGGGACATATAGAACTAACCATACTCATAATTAAGAAGGCAAACCTTGGCTGCACTTAGCACACAATTAAAGCAACTTACCAAGTTTTACCTTAAAATTAAAAATTGCTGGGAATTATCATTACAACATGTAATTGAGACTACTGGAAATAGATTTACATGGAGGGTGTGTAAGAACAGTAAAATATGGTTTTTTTTGTTTTTGTTTTTGTAAAAGATTATAAGAAAGCATGGAAATGTAAATTTTTGCCTAGGGTTAAAAGACTGTTTCAAATTAGGAAAAAGCTGAAGGTTCAAAAAGAAGTGGTGGAAGAATTGTGGAACTTAATCTTACAGAAGAGGTTCTCTATGTGAACATACCGACTAAATTCAAAGGATATTATATAGTTTTTCTGTAAACTCAGCATTGAAATAAAAGCATAACAAGGTTTTCTTCAGGTGCTAATTTGTTTTTCGGCAAAATTTGTAAAGGGTTATAGTAGGTTTTTACTTCTTTAAAATTGGTGAATCATCATTTTGGCAAAATAAATAACTTATGGTAATCTGGAACTCTATTTCATAGTACCAAGTGTTTTAAACTTTGAACATATTTGACAGCCTTCCCCAAATCAAACTTTAGTTTCAAAATTGTCTTTCCTGACACCTGGCTTTTCAGATGAATCAGAGGGCCCATGAGACATCCAGAAACGAGAGGTGGACAGGATTATTTGACATGTTTATGTATATGGGATTGCCAAAATGATGCTCCATCTTCTTTAGGTTATATTTTTGTGAATAATGCTAATATATGTTCCCAAATTGTATGGGATTTCTAAAATTTTAATGTCGAAGTATATGCTATTAATCATAATTAAGGTTGTTATGTTAAGTTATTGTAAACCATGGAGATAACGGAACTTCTTTGTGAATCCTGTTTCTAACTGTAACTACCCTGGACATTTTGCTATTCACAGGCAATTGTTGTCGTTTTTTAATCCTTTTCAAAAGATGGTTTATAATAAGCTACAGAACTGTAACAGGTACTCTCAAATACAGGCTTCTGATAACTTTGGAGATTGTGATATTGGAGTAAAGGAAAATGTACAGGACTCATAAAGAGCTGAAGTGTTCATGACTATCATGCAGAACAAGAATTAACTAAATGGACTGAACTCAGGAACTGAAGCAATCTTTTTAACCTTTGCTTGGAATATTGCTGATCCGTGTTTTGTCTTTTAGAGTTAACAAAACTTATTTTAAACTATTTATGGTCTTTAATAATTGAGTAAGGTGTACTCCCATGAACAAAATTTGGAGCATGTTTGTTTCTCTCTGCCTGGTTTCTCTAGAATTTGGAAACTATCTGTGAGTATTCTTATGGCAATATAATTGTTTGCATCAGTGCAATAAGAATCAATTTTTCTTTTGCAAGAGGACGGAATTGGAAAAATTAGTTATTTTACCAAGGCTTTGACTAGAAGTGTATGCTTCCCTTTAAGGAGTCAAGTTTGACTGGCAGAGCCAATACAAGCCCCACAGGGAGAATGACCTCATTCCCTTGCCTACACAGTCCCTGTATAGGGTTCCTGACCTATAGTCAATACAGAACGTCACTTTCTAACAGGTCCAGGAACTCCAAGTTTATTATGGTACCTGGAGAGGAAAGGATCACCCAACTCACAGGTATTTGAGGATGCAAATGCATGGCTGGACTCAGCTTAAAAAGTTCTTATCTGAGATTCCTTGTGGAACAGAGTTCCCTTAAAGCCAATCCAAAAGGCCTATGTAGAAATAATTATTCTTGCTGCACTTTATGCAAATAATCAGGCCAAGTATAAGACTAAAGTCTATTTTGAAAACAACTCAATCCTGTTATGATTTTTTTTAACAAAAATGAGGACTGGAGAGAGAGAAATTATGTTTCAAAACTTATCTTGCATTTTTCATTAAATTCTAAACTCATTAGTTGTTTTTAAGTATTTACCTACCCTTTTATACTAACCCTGCTTGTTCCTGTGAACCAACCAGCAATCTCCATCTGCAGCTCAGAAAAAACAAGAGGGATGGGCCATGTAAAAATCTCGATCAATATTGCAGTTCTGAGCAACTGTCCTGCAAATCCTACCAGGAGATTGGAATAAATAGGATGCTCATCACTCAGAGGTTTCCTTTTGGGAAAGTAAGACCAAAGGAGCTAACCAAAGCCAAGCACCATGCACCCAAATTTTAGGAAGCATAATTACAGCCACTGGTTATCTGAGTGTGTCACAAGACGTCCTTTCCTCTCCGTTGTTGGAGGAGGACTCAATTCCACAGTTTCACCTTAGCATTCAGCTTATAAGGACTCCTTATGAGAAGTCCACGCAACCCCCCAAGACATATTTTTGTCTCAAATTCAATTCCAAACCTCAAGTCAAAGTCCTAGGAAAGAGAATTGGATCTGAGGGATCCAGAGGTAGATAGTAATGAAAGTTTAAAGGCACAGCACAGGTGAGCATGGCTGACTGCTCCTGATTAATCCAAACCCAAGCTTTCTGTTTCATAGGTAAAGGCCACATTAGTATCCACAGCATAAATGAGGTCTAGGGGACTCCAAGGCTAGAGACAGCAGGGGAGATAGGATGTACATGGGTAATAATGGATGATTCCCACTCCCTAGGCCCTCCTGCTTCGTGGGTGCAAGCCGCTTTGGCACTCATGGCAGGATCTGCCAAGGTTGCTCGGACTTGGGGATGCAAGGACGGATGAGAGAAAGAGGGTGCTCTTTCTTCTCTCCCTCACTTACCATGGGTATCTGCTAGGAAGAGATGGGAACGAAAGATGCCTGCTCTCCTCTTTCTACATGGGTAGCCATTCATCTTCAGTCTGTACCCCTTTTGAATGCATCCTGAATCCTTGGGACTCCTTTAAAAAATGCCTTCTTTTTTCTTTCTCCTCCTCCGGTCTCTCTTTACTAATAGGTAATTGTGTCTCTGTACTACGAGAGACTCCTCTCAGATGCATCCTCCAAACTGGGAAAACTTAATTTTCCAAACCTTAAACTCGTGGCTTAGGATTGGGCTCAGGGGAAGGGAATGCAGAAGCCCAACAGGCTGACAAAAATGTAAAGTTTTGGCCTCCCTCTCCATGTGCAAACTTATAAAAGGCCTCGGGATTTTTGAACTGTTTTTACCCCTCCCCTTGTTTCATTTTGATACATGTTTTCTAATAACCCAGTTTGTCTGTTCTCCAAACGGTCATCCAACTGGAGCCTCTGACGATAGCCCCTTCTACCAGGAACCCTTAAATAGGTCTCTGAAGGAGTTCTGACTGCCGTTTTCCCAAAACAGTGCCCCCTGTCAGCAGGAATCAGTTAAGATTGGTCTTCGTCCTTATCTTTATTGTAATGGCAGTTAGATGTACTTCTTTAGAGGGGGGAATGAGACAACCGGTGGTAGGGGGTCCCCGGCAAAATTCCAACCAGCCTGTGCACTGGGGTGGAGCCTCAGGAAGTTTGCACCATTTCCAGCAGGGAGGAACCTGGCCCCTCCTTTTTGGTGGGGGAACTGGGATTCGAACTGAGAGGTGGGAAGCACTCTAGCAAGAGCTCTGGCTTAGTGAGAGTCCCTGTTTCCCCCTTTTATTCCTTTTCACCCAATAAAACCCTGTCTTACTCACCATTCGAATTGTCTGTGAGACTGAATTTTTGTTCCCACGGGACAAAGAACCCCGTCTTTAGCTGAACTAAGGAAGAGTCCTGCAACACAAATATACTAATGCTCCCTTTCTCTAACTTCTTAATTCTAATAATTTTGACCCTATCACTTTTTCTATGCTTCCATGTATCTCACCTCTAAGCTTCTCTTCTTATCTAGTTTAAATTCCACAGTCAATCACTAGGATCATTGCCTTACATAAATGGTTAATTCTGATCTCTTACTTAACAGAACTCTCTTTACTAAAGTACTATCCTGATTGTGCCAAATCTTCATCCATTACATGTCTGCAACTGCATAGCTGATTATGGCTGGAGAAAGACACAAAACCAGGCTGATTATCCTGACTCGAAATTAGTGACCACTAACCTGAAGTTGATTTAGAAAGCTGCTAAGTAGTTATCTTGCCCAAACCTACTTACTTTATCATTTGCCTATTGGGTTTTCATATATTTTTCTCCCATTTAAGCCGAGTACACCTCCTTATTTTCCCTAATTCTCAGCTGATAACCTTGCTTTTGTTTTCAATTAAATAATGAGAAAAAGAAAAAAAATAATAGAAGCAATGAAAAGGTAACATTCACAAACTCCCACCACTGTGTAACTTCTCATCTGCTTGTGTCTGCATCTATGTACTCCGTTTCTTCATATTTGGTGTAAATTATCTCTCTGTTCCTCTCAAAGGACACATTTTCATTAGTGTATTATATTTCCTACTTTTCATCCATTCAGGAATATTGCTCCAGAAATGCTCTTCTCTCACACATGCAGCATTAGTTTTTCATGATTGATAGGATCTTTCCCATAACCCTCAAAACTAGATATTATTTCTCTCTGAAAATTACTTTTTTGTTTCCTCACCCCTTTCTCTTTTTTTAGCACAAATTATTTAAAAACACACTTTAGTTTCTTTTTCTCATTTCCTATTTTCCGTTTGACCTTATCCAATCAGAATATCTAGTCTACCACGACTATACTTACTGAAGTCAACAGAGAAGACTATGATACTAAATCCAGTGGTTTAATTTTTAATCCTCTATGTGACCTATCAACAGCATTTGACCTAATTGGCCATTTCTCATTGAAATATTGTCTTTACTCAACATTCTAAAATATCTTATTTTTCTAGTTTCTTTTCTTTATACTCTTGTTTTCATTCCTCTTGCTATTTCCTCATCTTATCTCTACATACTCGAAACACTGGAGTGCTCAAGAGCTTAATATTTGGTCATTTTCATGCCTCTAGCTATACTAATTTCCTTGGTAATCTCACCCATTTCATGCTCTTGAAATCACCAATATGATGATAACGCACAATTGTATATCTCAAGGCAGGACCACTGTCCTGAATTTCTGACTTATGAATATAAGATACTTATTCAGATTCTACACTTGCATGTCTAATAAGCATCTTAAAATTAACAATGTGGCTTATGGCATAGAAAGCCCCAGAGAATGCCATTCATGTTCTATCAAGAAAGAAAAGTAAAAAATCTACGAAATCATAACTTCGACCCTATCAGAGAGCTGAGGTCATAAGTTGAACAAGTAAACTGATTTCCAAAAGGTGACAAAGCTCCCTCAATGAAAGGCAGAGCTATTTAATCATTGGCAGAGAACAAGAGAAAGAGCTGGTTACAATAAAGGCACATAAGAAAGGAAAAGCTAACATTTTAATACATTCTTAGATGTTAGCTGAGGGTTAACATGGCAGATTAGATCCTGGGGGATCCTACCTATGAAGGGATTCTACAAGCACTCACTGGATTCTTGCTGTTAGCCTCTACCTAGTGAAGAATGTTGAGTACAGGACAGGTGACATGAGAGAGCCCTTGGATGTCATAGGTATTTAAGACCTGCCTAGATTTGAACATGCAGCATGAGTGTCTGCAGAACCCCATCTGTGTTCTAGGCCCTTCATGAGTAGAAGGTGGTGACAGGGTGCCACTGGGGTATAAAGCATAAACCTAGTTTGGGACCCAGGTCTACTCTCATTGGAGTTGACCCGAGGAGAGGGCAAGAAACCCATCAGTGAAGAAGTAACTGTTCTCCGACATGAGGAGAAGGCCTTCCTCCACTCAGAAGGAGGACAGAAACCATCTTACCTACTCTTTGTTCCTGGCTGACATCAGGCATACCTGTCACTGGTGAAAGGGTAGGCTACTTCCAATTCTGCACTGACACAAAGCAAAGGCCCTTTGGTGCTAGAGGAGGTAAAGAACTCTGATCATGTCTAGGATCCTGCAAATCAATCAGAAAAATGGGAGAAATGTGGTTTGCACAAAAAGCCTCCTGCCACCAATACATGGCATAGATTAGTTGTCTGGGGTGGGAAATGGACAGAGGATATGAGAAATATGCTTGAGCTCAGATCCACCACTGAGTAATGAGCAAAGTTTATCTGACACTGGAGCAGGGACAGAAAGTTTAAGAACACATAACCCCTGAGCTTCTCATGCACAAGGTCTGTCTAACACTGATGATGAATAAACATGAATAAAGAGACCACTTTACCACTACAGTTCTTGCAGCAAAAGCATTCCACTGATGTAGATGGCAAGGAGGTACAGAGAGAAAACCTCTCTTTGGCAAAATATTGAGGGTGGAACATGAACAGGTAAACTTTCTGGTACTCCAGGGTATACACTAGGTACAAGGTAGCAGTAGACCATCACTAGAGGTGTTTGTAGACTGTAGTGTACTGAAGATGACTACATCAACAACAGTAATGAAACTCAGCTCAGCTGCACACTAGGTTGAACCCATACAATAATGACGTGACAGAAAACGATATATAAAAATACTGCATGTAAATATTATTAACCTCAGACTCTAATATTCTTTTTCACACAATGTCTAGGCATTCCATCAAAAGTTGCACGACACATACACACACAAAAATATTACCCATTGCAAGCAAATAAAACAGTGAAATCAGTCAGACTCAGATATGATGTTGTAACCATCATTACAACTGTCATAACTTCAAAATAATTTTATTGATGTGTTAACAGATTGTTAATTTTAATTGTGATTGTATCAAAAAGATGAAATTATCAGAAATCAATGTAACAAATTATGTGCAATCCAAGGACAATAACAGAAACTATATAAAATATAAATAAATGGAGAGATATTCCTTGTACATGAATTGCAAAACAGTATTATTAAGATCTTAATTCTCTCCAAATTAAGAATTTGTAAAATCCCAATCAAAATTTTAGCATTTATTTTTATAAATATTGTCTATCATAATAAAATATGTAAATATGAATTAATTTATTATAGTCATGTTTTTAAAAAAGGACATACCTGGAGACATTTTCCTGATTTCAAGACTTACTGTAATGCTACAGTCATTAAAACTATTGTAATGGTGCAATATGGGTTGATTTGTGTCACGCCCTCTTACAAAGAAAGATATGATTGCATCCCCAACAATTTAGAATGTGATCTTCTTTGAAAAAAGAGTGCTCACATAGGTAATCAATTTAAAGTGAGGTCATTAGGATAGGTTCTAACTCAATATAACTGGTATCCTCATGAAAGGGAAAAATTTGGTAAAGTCTGCAAATAGGAAGAATGCCATTTGAAGATTGGAATTATCCTTCCCCAGGCCAAGGAACCATCAGTAGCTAAGACAGACCTGGAACAAATTCTTCCCTACTGCTTTCAAGGAACATAGTGCTGACAGTCTTGGACTTCTAACCTCTAGAACTGTGAGACAACAAATTTCTGTGGTTTAAGACACCTAGTTTGTGGTATCTTCTTACAGCAGCCATAATAAACGAATACATAATGTAAGAATAGCCACATATATTAATTGAATGGAAAAGAGAGTCCACAAAAAGTCATACATATTTGGCCATTTTCTTTTTTGATAACAATGCCAACATGATTCAATTGGGAAAGTTAGTCATTTCAACAATACTGTAACATTGCATGTTCACTTGGAAAGAAATTATCCTCAATACAGTCATGCATTCCTTAAAAATCAGGATCCACTCTAAGAAATGTGTCAGTATGTGATTTTGTTGTGTGCACCTCATGGAGTGTACTTACACAAACCTCAGTGTAATAGCCTATTACACATCTAAGCTATGTGGTATACCCTATTGCTCCCAGGCTACGAATGTGTGCAGTATGTTTTTGTACTGAATACTGTTGGCAGCTGTAACACAATAATAAATACTTGTATATTTAAACATACCTAAACATAGAAAAGATAACAATAAAAATATGGTATAATAGGCCAAAAAAAGTGTTAAACTTTTAAAGGGAACTTACCATGAATGAATCTTGCCGACCTAGAAGTTTCTCTGGGTGAGTCAGTAAGTGGTGAGTCCAAGTGAAGGCCTAGGACATTTACTGCACACTAATGTAGACTTTATAAACACTGTACACTTAGGCTACACTACATTTGTTTTAAAATATACACATGCAATAATCGATGAATCAGCTGAATGTAATGTTTTTACTTTATAAACCTTTTCATTTTTTAACCTTTTTCCTTTTTTTGTAATAACACTCAGTTTAAAACATAAAGACACAGTACAGCTGTACAAAAATATTTCATTCTTTATATTCTATTCCTTTTTTCTATTTTTAATTTAAAACTTTTTTTTTTTTGGTTTTAACACTGTTTTGTTAAAACTAAGATACAAGCACACACAGTAGCGTAGGCTTACACAGGGTAAGGACCATCAATACCACTGTCTTCCACCTTCACATCTTGTCCCATGAGAAAAACTGTAGGGCAATGAGATCCATGGAGCCATTGTCTGCTATGATAACAACGCCTTCCTCTGGAATATTTCCTGAAGGACTCACCTCAGGTTGTTTTACAGTTAACTTTTTGAATATAATTATAAGAAGTACACTCTAAAATAATGGTAGAAAGTATAGTATAGTAAATACATAAACCAGTAACAGTCACTGACTATTAAGCAAAGTAGACATTATTAAGCAAAACACATACAATTGTACACAAGTTTTTCTTTTGTCTCCTCTGACTGTATTTTCAAATAGCCTATATTTAGGCTCACTAAATCTTTTTTCTGCTTGATCAATTCTGCTGTTAAAAGACTGTGATATATTCTTTAGTATGCCAATTGCATTTGTCGGCTACAGAATTCCTGGTTGATTCTTTGTAGTTATTTCAATCTCTTTATTAAATGTATCTGATAGAATTCTGAATGTCCTCCCTGTGTTATCTTGAATTTCATTTGATTTCCTCAGCACAGTTATTTTGAATTCTCTGTCTGAAAGGTCACATATCTCTGTTTCTTCAGGATTGATCCCTCATGGTTTATTTAGTTCATTTGGCGAGGTCATGTTTTCCTGGATGGTGTTGATGCTAGTAGATGCTCTTTGATGTCTGTGCATTGAAGACTGATGTATGTATTTTAGTCTTCACTGTCTGGGCTTCTTTGTATGTGTTCTTCTTGGGAAGGCTTTCCAGATGTTTGAAAGGACTTGAGTGTTATGATGTAATCTCTATCTGCTTTGGGAGGCACTCTAAGCTCAGTAATGCTGTGGTTCTTGCAGGTTAGTAGAGTAACTGCCTTGATAGTCTCGGATAAGATCCAGGATAGTTCTCTGAATTACCAAGCAGAGACTCTTGTTCTCTTCTACTTTCTTCTAAACAAATGCAGTCTCTGTCTTTGTTCTGACCCACTTAAAGCTAGGCGTGGTTTGACACAAGCACCTCTGTGGCCACCACTACTACGATGGTGCTGGCTCAGACCTGAACCCAGCACAGCACTGAGTCTCACCTAAGACCTGTTGTAACCACTCCCTGGCTACTGCCTAAGTTCACTCAAGGTCCTGCAGCTTTACAATCTGCAGGTGGCAAAGTCAGCCAGGCCTGTTTCCTTCCTTTCAGGATACAAGTGGCTCCAGAGGTTCCATCTGGGAGTCAAGAACTAGAGTCAGAAACCTTAAAAGTCTACCTGATATTCTATTGTACTGTAGTTGAGCTGGCACTCAAACCACAAGACACAATCCTTCTCACTCTTCCCTCCATTTTCCAAAGGCAGAGGAGCTTCGCTCCTTAGCCACCACCACCATCAGCCAAAGGGAGTACTGCCAGATTACCATCAATATTTCCTTAAAGTTCTTCAGGCTTACTTGAGGCTCTTCAGTCAGCTTGTGGTGAATCCTACCTGGCCTGGTACTCACACTTCAGGGGAGTGGGCTCCCTTCTGGCTCAGGGAAAGTCCAGAAATGCCATTCAAGAGTCAAGTCCTAAAATCGGGGACCCCAAAAGCTCACTTGGTGCTCTACCCCACTGTGGTTGTGCTGGTACCTAAGATGAAAAACAAAGTCGCTTTTACTTTTTCCTCTGCTTTTCTCAAGCAGAAGGAATTTCACTCTGTAGGTACCACAGCTGACAATGTGCCGAGTCTCATATGAAGCCAGCAAGTCTTAGGAGGTCACTGAAGGCCCTTGATGTAGTACCTGGGTATGACTGCTGGTTATTCAGGGCCCAAGCCCTCTTCAATTAGCAGCTGATGAATGCTGCCAGGTCTGGGTTCTTTCCTTCAATACAATTGGCTTCCTTCTGGGCCACAGTGTGTTTAGAAATGTTCAGGAGCTAGGGCCTGGAACAGGGATCTCATGACTTTGACCAGTGCCCTATCCTTGCTGTGGCAGAGCTGGTATCCCAGATTCAAGACAAAGTCCTCCCCACTCTTTCTTCTCCTCAAGCAGAAGGAAGGGGTCTCTTTTGGAGCCAGGAGCTGTGCAGCCTGGGGCTAGGAGAAGGGTGATGCCAGTACTCTCTTAGCTGCCCCAGCTCATGTCTCAGTAGGTTGCATGCCCCCCTTCCCCAACCCACTGTCTCTGGACCCAGTTCAGTGCTAGGACTTGCCTGAGTTGCAGGCATTTAATAATAAATGAAACAGCTGAATGAAGTGTCTTTACTTCACAAACTTTATGGCCTAGACTGCCTTTCAGGTTTACTTAGAGACTCAGAGCTGTTTTCCCTAAGCCTTCAGTGCCCCTTTCAGCAATATGAAGATAAAACCAAGTACTATGAGGACTCGCCTGATTTTTTATTGTTATAATGGTGTTTTTTTCTCTGTAAATATTTATTAAATTGGTGTCCTTGTGGGGAGGTGGTGGGGGTGGGGGTGGGAATAATCGGTGGAGCCTCCTCCTCTGCCATCTTGCTCTGCCTCTAAAACTGCAAGGTTTCCAAGGGAGCACTGCTGAAGACAATCAAGGTTCAGCCTCAGGAAAGAAAATAACGGTAACTAGTGCACAGATCTTTTGCACAAGTGAATTCAATTGAGGCTCAAGATAGACTCAAATCCACACAAGTGCTTGGAGTGAGAATCAGCAGTTAGGAGACTGGAAATGAGACCAATAAGTTGAACTAGCCACAAAAGTTGAGAACATTGTATAAAAGGAATTATCAGACACTGAGATTTTGTAGGTAAATTTTTCTAGCTTATATTCACTAAATGGGAAAATGTATTCTAATAAACTAGCACTGGCTCATTATATGAATAGATCTAAGCCATCAAGAGACAGACAAAATATTATCTACTGTTGTGAAAGACAAGGAAGGGCAGGAGAAGACAGTGAGAAGTCAATGAGGCTCCAAGCACTATTACACTACATTTGATATATTTCTCCATAAGTAAATACACATTAGGCATAGCTGAAACTTGCTTGCAAGTCATGTAAAACATTGCACTGTGAAACTTTACCTACAATTGGAGACCAAGTTTGAAATTCATTTCAGAGAATGAATAGAAGTTAGATAGGAAAATAGAATATTATAGGACATAATTTCAAACTGAGTTACACAAAGGAAAATGAAAAAAGTCAGACTTGAATATGGTACAATATCCCTTTCTATCTTTCATCAAAGCAACTCTGTTTTTATATAATGGCTTGCATTTTCTGTAAGATTATATTCTGACCCAGAGGATAATTTCATCCTTTTTTAACAATAATATTGTACTATATTAAAAAATATAGATTCAAAATCTGACCAATTTTATTGTCTGTGACTACCTTCAAATTAATTTAATAAAACACATTTTGAATCATGCTAAAATAATAGATTCTTTTCTGTTATGCATAAGTAGCAAACATTGAGATCATATGAAATTGCTTTTCAGGATGATAAACTATTTTTCTTACTTTGTATACAAAGATGAATGTGGATACATGAAATTCGCCTCAGTTAGGAGATCTTTCAATGGCTAGTATCAGAATATCTGCCTAACCATAAGTTAAATAATAAGAAAATAACTGAGTACTTAACAGAGTCAGAAGGTGTGTACCGGTAAGGAGTCTTTCGGAAGCTTCAGTGTTTTGTCAAAGATGCATATTTTTTGTACATTTCTGCTCTGCCATCCTCATTTGCTGGAACATATTTTTCTAAGACCTGTTATATCATGGTAAAATGTCTGTTTGAAAATTCCAGTATTACATTGTCACATATGCCTTTTTTCCTACTATGTTCTTTTCTATGACTTTACTGGACTAGAGTAGGCTGCTGCCACAGACACATGCAGAAGAAAATGTCGTTCAAGAAAAAAGGGAGAAGAAAACAGCTAGTGAGTAGGCATCTAGAATTGACTCTTGCAAGATACATTTCACACTTAATTTCTTTTTTCTTTTTTAACTCAGATCCTATACCTTTACCAAAAGTGATAATGATGGGCACCAGTCTAGGCTTGCAATCATGAAACCACAGTTTTAGAAAATATTCCAGAATTAACGCCTAGAAAGTCAAAATTTAAGAGAGGGTTAAAATCAAACTATAATGAAACTGACTTCACTTTTACAAAATGCAGTTAATTGTTTTATGGAAATCTTTTTTTCTTTGAATCAAGTTTATACTTTCTCTGTCAAATTAAAATTCTACTTTATTTTGATTGCTATAAAAAACTTCTCTACCGTAAAACCTGTCAGATGAGAATAAAATTTTGATGGAATAAAAAGAGAAATAATTTCATACAAATTTTGTTAAGTTTGGCATTCCATAAGGGACATACATATTCTAACAGTAAAAATATTCCCCTAATGTAAAACTAAAAGGTTCCATCAAACTAGCAAATGTATTTCCACAGAGAATACAAATTCTAAAGTCATTCCTTAACCAACTATAATCATCCATTAATATTTAAACACATCAATTAACAATTTGATTCTGGTGTGTATCTCTAAACAGATTTTGTAAATAAAAATAAGATATATTTTTATTTGGGCAAAAGTCAAGATGAAAATTGTCCAAAATCACCCATCAGAGCTCTTGATATGCTATATAAAATATTCAGCTAATTAACTGAAAATCAATAATCTGTGTGTGCATTATATAGGCCAATATGAGAAAGCCAAACCATACTCTGCAATGTATGCCATACTAATAAACTTTTCTAAATTTTCAGATTATTCAAGTGGCAATTCAAGTGGGCAATTAATGTATTATCTTACGGAATTAGACATAGTCTGCACATAATCAAGACACTCGAATACTAGGTAATGTTCCCCTTGCCTCTGCCCCAATTGCTAAAGATGATATTTGGCAATTTATAGCAATGTATAGATATTTAATATATCTATACAGCAGTTTATCAACATTTGTGTTGTTTCTACTTTGGGACTATTATAATAAATCTGCTATGAATATTTGTGTGCAAGTTTTTATGTGAACAAATACTTTTATTTTTCTTGGTTTTATGCCCAGGAGTGGAATTCAGGGTCACTTTGTAATTCTATATTTAACCTTGTAAGGAGCTTCCAGTTCATTTTCCAAAGAGGCTGAAACATTTTACATTCCCACCAGCAAAGTGTAAGAGTTATGATTTTTCCACATTTTTACCAACACATTATTATCTTTTTATTATAGTTATGCTGGTGAAGACATCACACACTATGGTTTCAATTTGAATTCCCTGATGGTTAGTGATGTTAAGTATTTTTTCTTGTGCTTATTTGGCCATTTGCATATCTTTCTTGGAGAAATAGCTATTTACATCCCTTGCCCATTTCTTAACTGGGTTATTTAAGTTTTATTTTTGAGTTATAACTGTTTTTACTGGTTTCTATGTAATACAAGTCCCTTACCAGATAATATTATTTTTAAATATTTTCTACTATTCTGTGAGTGGCATCACTTTATTAATGACATCACTTGCAACACAAATTTCTAATTTTGAAAAAGTCCAATTTGTGTATTTTGTATCATTTGTGCTTTTGATGTCACATCTAATCCGTTTTCTTAATTCAAGGTCACAAAGATCTGCTCCTATATTTTCTTATAAATTTTGTAATTTTTGCCATTACATTTTGTACTATAAACATTTTGTACTATGATTTATTCTGAAGTAATTTTTATTTATGGTATGAAGAATGCATCCAACTTCTTTATTGCTTTGCTTGTGTATTAGCCCTATTTGTTGAAAAGTGTATTCTTTCCCCGTTGAATGTTCTTGGCATCCTTTTCAAAAAATAATTGACCATAATTGTATAGGTTTATTTCTGGACTCTGAATTCAATTCCTTTGATATATGTGTTTATCTTTACATCAGTAGCACACTGTCTTGATTATTGTCTTTATAGTAAGGTCTGAAATCAGTAAGTTTGAGTGCTCTAAATTTCCTTTTCCTTTCCAGTGTTGTCCTGGCTACTCTGGGTCTATTAAATTTCCACATGAATATGGAACTAGCTTGGTAATTTCTGCAAAAAAAAAAAAAAAAAAAAAAAAAAAATCAAAAACCAAAAAAAAAGAAAAACCTAGGATTTTGTTAGGTATTGCATTGAATCTGTAGATTCATTTGTACAGTACTATTGTCATCTTAACAATAATAAGTCTCCTGGTCCATGAGCATTGGATGTCTTCCATTAATTCAGGTCTTTAACTTTTTTTCAATGATATTTTCTTGCTTGCAGAGCATATGTTTCACACTTCTTTTGTTAAGCTAATTCTTAAGTGTTTTACTCTTTTTGATACTATTGTAAAGGTAATTGTTTTATTGATCTTACTTTCAGAATGTTCCTTCCTATTACATAGAAATAAGATTCATTTGGCCGGGCACAGTGGCTCACGCCTGTAATTCCAGCACTTTGGGAGGCCGAGGCGGGCAGATAACGAGGTCAGGAGATGGAGACCATTCTGCCTAACACGATGAAACCCCATCTCTACTAAAACATACGAAAAATTAGCTGGGCATGTTGGTGCATGCCTGTAGTCCCAGCTACTTGGGAGACTGAGGCAGGAGAATTGCTTGAACCTGGGAGGCGGAGGTTGCAGTGAGCCGAGATCGCATCTCTGCACACCAGCCTGGGCGACAGAGGGAGACTTCCTCTCAAAAAAAAAAAAAAAAAATAGGATTCATTTTTATACATTGATCTGGTATCATGCAACCTTGCTACTTTATTTGTTCTATAGTTTTCAGTGGATTACCTGGTATTTACTATATAGAAAATTACATCAACTGCATATAAAAGTTGTTTTACTCATTCTGTTAGTCTTGCTGCTCTCTTTTTGTTTGCTTATCTAACTGTCCTAGTTAGAATAGTGTTAAATAGAAGTAGTAGAATGTTGAATAGAAGCAGTGAGAACATTCTTTTTTTGTTTCCAATTTTAGGATGCAGAGGCAGAATATTTGATAAAAGAAAAACCAGAATCGCCTTTGGGGTTATTTGCTTCATTTCTACTCCTCTACAATTAAACAGCAATGCTTACTTCCATCTTTCTTTTTCTACAAGGGTCAGAGTGGTTAAAAGGGTGTTGCTTATTTTAGCTAGGGTTAGAGTACATTTAGTGTTCCACAAAGCCCAGCTAAATTGGGAACCGTCATCACTCAGAGTCATATAGTAAAATAAAAACAACCAAAACAACACAAAAAGCAGATGCTGACTCAAATTTTCATTGAAGCTAAGCAGTGTCATTGTGAATAAAAACTTTTTCTTAGTATTATGACTTCTCCTAAAGAAACACGTGCAAATACTCACAAGGAAATCATCCCTAAATGTGCATATGTGTGCATGTATGTGTATGTAACTTCTCTCTACATAAAATTTTTACAGAAAATCTGTGAGAGAATATGAAATAGCAGGAAGCGTTATCTGGTTATCTGAAAAAAGTTGTACACTTCCTGCGTACAATTATCTACTAATCTTACCTCTTAAGCATGAATTGTAACTCCCAAATTAGATGTGTATTTTGAGAATAGCGGATAATGTAAGTAAAATTCCCAGTGGAATGATAGACAGTAGTGCTGAGTACAAAGAACACAAACCAAGGGCAAACAAACAACAACAAAAAAATTATGTGACTCGTATCTAACTAGACATATTTTGTTACAATAGGTCTCAACCATTTTAAGAAATGAATACAAAATTGTGAGTATTCAAAAAAACTTGTGGGATATTTAGATGTTGATAATCTTCATTAATCAATATTTCTTGGCATGCCCTACATGTCTGCTCAATGATTTTCTCCAACTCATATTTTAAAACCTAGTTTTAATTTTTAGTAACTTTAATTATTCTCAAGAATGACTTTGCCCTTCCATAGCATGTCTTGTCTATCTGCACTAAGATACTTGTCTGTGTAAGGGAAAATATAAATAGGAAAAAAAAATTCCCGTTAAAAATAAGAGAAAAAATTTGACTTCCACTCTTATTTCTTAGATAATTTGTTTTAGAAAACTTGTAAGTGAAATTTATTTTCCTGTCTTTTTAAAATGTATGTAAATCTTTTTTAAAAGCTAAATAAGCTTATTGCTAGCTTTGAGACTCAGGAATGTTTTTCTCAAATACTTGAGAACTATCTTCTTGCAATGTCATCAAGAAATATAGTGCCCCATCTTCCAGTTTCTGCGAGAGGTTAAGAGCTTAACTTTGGAGGGAATTTAGCTTTAAGTTACAAAACTTGTCCTAAAGATGTAGGAAGCTTATTTTTCCTTTGGATAAAGCTAATTAACTAACACAGATGGTCACCAATTACCAAGTGAATTTAAGATGAACTATGTGTGACAAATGGTGCTGTCAAGTCCTCTTACTTGAGGACTAGTTACTGTTTATCTTGAGAGTACGTATGTAATGGGTTGTATCTGTTTGGCTGTATAAAAGGATGAGACATCTTTCTGTCTTTGCAATCTCTTGGTAAATTAACATTCTGGTTTAATGCTCATTCGATTTAAAAAAAAAAACTTTTTTTTTCTTTTCTTTGTAAAGAAGTTTTCTGTGTTGGGAGAAGATTTTTTTAAATTGTATTTCCCCAACAATTCTGGTGAAAAGGGTGAGATGACTGACAGTTACTGAATTGAGCAGATGAGTTGAAGGTCTGTGGCCATGCAACAGTCAGGTAAGAGTCCTCAAATTATTAAAAGTCTCCCTTCTACCTTTCCATTCTTTTGGAATACAAGTTGGAAGACCACCCTCTCAAAATTCAAGATATTGCTACTGAGTAGACATGGATGATCCAGGCTCTAAAATCCTGTCAGGATCACCATATGGTTGGAAAATACGGGAACCCCAGAATGTCATCTTCAGGTCTTTCTCATAAAGGAGTAATATCACTCTGTCATATTTGGAATGGATAAATGACAATCCAGTTTTTCAGTTGCCTCAGGGCAATTATTTTGATTTGGATGAATTAATTAACTTCTTTTCTGGGGTTCTTAGGCCTCATTCTAAGCAACTAAACTACTGGCATTTATGAGGTGAATATAACTCTAAGGGAAAAAGTTAAGATGATTTGGATGGTTAGAAGAAGAGATTGAGAAAAATAGAAGAGGAAATGTGAGGATTAAAAACGCTTTCTCTTTCACAGCACCCTCCTCCTCTCATTTCTTTCCTCACATCTTCAATCTCTGATTTCCCTGTCTTTATCTCGCTCAGATTCAAATTGACTTCCTGGAAGGGTAGGTGATGATCTTTTAGGTGATAGTTTTCTTTGTTAGTGAAGGATCCTACAGAGATGAGCACACAGTTTCTTTATCCAACAATGAATTATCAGTCCCGTTTAAGGGCACAGGTTTCTATGCCTCATAGCCTAACATTGAGTCAACTTCATAGCTTAGCTCAAATTCCACCTCCAAGAATCCTGTCTCATCCACACACCACATGGCTAGGAAAGAGACATATCAGGAAATAATTGAGAACTTGGATAATAGACTGCCCCCATATAAAGGCAACAGGATGGAGAGTAGCTGCACTAGTCACCTACAAAAGGCAAGCAAGGTGTTAAGCTGATGAACGTTAGCATGGGGAGGGAGACCAAAGTGTCACAAAAATTAGCCTTTCCTATTTAGATTGCCCACAAAGCTGATGACATTGAGAAACTACCCAGGACTCCTGAATAATTCACATGCATTTCTCACCAGCTGATTTTACTCATTTAAAGGTTTCTTTTTTCTGTGACCCAGAAATATACAGACATACACCGGAGCATGTTATCAGTCTAAACCTCATGAACAGAGACATGCACTAGCTACTGTGTGGAATTATGCAAAAAGCAGACTTTACTTCTTTTAAGTTTCAAATGCATCAGCGTCCAGAAGATACCACATCAAAGGGTATTGTGGCCAAGGGAAGCCAACTACCTTCCATACTCCACAATGGAACCCATCTAAAAGGGTTGCTTGATGGCAATACTTAAATCCTTTCTTCTAAAGCTCAGCTGGGAGAAGTTACACTGATGTACCCACAAGGTAGGTGAGTCTCCCAGTTGATTTCACCAGTAGTTTGTTGAAACTTTCTCAAAAAACATTAAGTCTAAATTCTTATTTGCTTTGGCTTATAAATGAGTTCAATATTTATGGCAAAGTGTTTTTTGAGGATTTTGAAACTCTCTCTACTATTTTCTCTAGTCATTTATAAAATAAAAATAAAAAATTTATGGATATGTTTCCCACCAAAGGGATCTGTGGGATCCCTTTGGATCTACATTATTCAATACGTAGGTGATTGCTGGTAGTATAAGAAGCTAAAAGCAATATAAAATTGATAACTTGGCTTTGAAATAATTATTTGCTTCACAAAAGCATAAGGTTTCAATAGAACAATTGCAATTTTGCTAAACGAAATAAAAATATTTAGGGTGTCAGTTATGAGCCGTGGGCCATGGAATCTAGTAGTTACGTCTAGTAGTTTCATAATCTAGAAGTCCATTTTACATAAAATGACTTAAATAAAAACTTAAAAACAGACAATTATTTGATAATAGTACAGTATTATGGACAGTGGATTTCATTTTGCAGAGGAGGCAAAACCTTTGCTGGAAAAAAACTGCATGATAATTCTCCAGATCTTCCAGTTTGGTCCCTAGAATCTGAAGGGCTTTTGAAAATTGAAGTTGGCTATAGTTTCTTCCCCAGCTTTGGTGATTACAATTTTAAAAAAAATACTCATCATGATTTATCTAATATTCATTTTAATATTGCATATTTACTAATGTTTACTGATGGGCTATGTACTTGGGATAATAGTGACAAATTTAAGGTGTCCTAAGCTGTGGTGATTTATCACTGAAACTTGAACAATTACTTTTTGTCTGGAAATAAGTCTGCACAAGCTGACAATAGCTATCACTAAAGCAACTTTGTTCTGGATTTAAAATGAATATATAATATACTACTAATAGGTTTATGTTTGGCATCTATCATGCAACAAAGCAAATTTTTTGACTAGAATATTTTTTACTTCTATTGGAATAAAAATATCTCATGGAAACTGATTGCTGATTTGTTAGAGGTTTTACCACTGCTTGCTCAGATGTTAGTAATTCATTCTGCTGACAGAGTTGCAAAAGCCACTGGTAAAACATTGCAGATTCCAAACTTAGAAGCTCTACTTTTAATACAATAAAAAATGCTTGTTTGTTTTCAAAAATATGCTTCCAAAAAGAAGATGGATTATAAAAGAGGCTGAAAGAAACTTGACTGAACTATGGAAATGACCTAAGAAAATAATTCCTATACCATGGTCCCTATCTGCTTAGTTAATATTATGCATCACTAACAAAATCATCTAAATAAAAGGCAGATTTTAAAAATGCTAGACTCTTCACAAGCTTACCACAAAGATAAAATTACTGCAAAACATACTAAAGAGATGTACTATTTGTCAGCAGAATTCTTTACAGGCTGCTCCCAAGATAAGCATTCGCTGTCCCTGACAAACTTCACCAGGAACCAGGTAGCAGTTACATTTCATAAAACGAATGCATATAAAAGTTAAGAGATTTTGTCTTGCTATGATGTGTATGATGTCCAGTTGTCCTTAAGTCGTTCCCTATTCAAAAAACCCCTTGCTCGGGCAGTGGTAAAGACTGTCTTAATAAACATAATTTCCACTTTTGGGTTACCAGAACATTTAAATGACAGACAAAGTCATTTTATCTGTAGTGTCATTCAGGAATTATGCAAATGTTTACAGATTCCTATAATCCTCAGTCTTCTGGAAAATAGAGTAAATAAATCAAACTCTTAAAAAATTCATTAGCTAAGATTCTGAAACCTGGTATACCAAGATGGCCTAGAGCTTTACCACTAGCCTTGTTTGAAATTAGAGTGATCTCTATAAGCAAGCACAGAATCTCTCCCTTTGAATTTATCTTTGGAAGGCCTGTGAATTTAGGTCTAGGATCATGTTTTGCACTTTATTTAACTGAATCCTTTAAAAGTCATGTTCAATACTTAAAAGGACTTTTCCCTAGGAACCGTGAGACTTAAAGTGGCAAGGACATGGAAGAATCTGCTGGAAGAAGTCAGCCACCTACGTTAACCAGGAGATTTTATTTACATAAAAGTCTCCCCCAGTAAAGATAATTGCATTGGAACAGACTTTTTGAAATGTTGATGATCACCCACAGGACTATCTATGTGAAAATAATAATGACCTTAAACCAACAACAACTTGAAAACTTGATTTGTGTTTCTTATAAGAAGCCAACTCCTTAGAGTGACTGGACTGAGGATTCCACAAGGAATTTGGACTTGAAATTTTCAGAAGTTATTGATATTGGTACTGAACTCAACTGAAGAGGTATTCTTGCAAACATATTACTAGTTTCATAGACTGCCTTGCTGTCTCATTCATAGCACGGTGGTTTCAGTTACTTTAAGGATCACGTTTTTCTAGAAAACAAATTTATTTTTTACATTACTTTTTCTTTCTGTACTCCCAGTAATGGTTCCCACAATCTCATTTCCGATCAGCTCCAAATTGTACTCCATATAAATAGGTTTTGATTTACAAATTGAAAAATCTGATTATTTATAAAGTAAAAATGAAAAAATCTTCATTAGTCATTTTTGATAATAACATTTTAGCTATTTTAGGTAAAAGTAGCTAAAATGCATGCAAGTACTTGGGCCCTAAATTTGATACAAAAATGTTTTCACTGATTTGATTGGAGCATGAGGTAGAAAAAAATTAATAGTAGACAAACAGAAATCTAGCATTTACACATAGAGGTTGAAAAGACAGGTCTAATGTCATTCAATTAACTTAGAGATCCAAGTTGTGTCCAATCTCAAAATACTTAAATAAACAAAGGTGAATATCTGTCATTAATGTAGATTTAGTCAACTGCTACAAAAGTATGACTATTGATTAAGGCCCAATGCAAGAAAAAAAAGGCCCATAAGACAGGTTTGTCCTCAACACTTAATGAGAACCTTACACATGAAGCACTGGAACTTTACTCTGTCCCATTCAACAGCTACCTCATAATGAGGCTTTGATAGTAGTTGAAGACTATTCATATCTTTACGTCACACATCAGAGAACTATTATTTGGGAAGACAGAACAATTACTAAAAGACCTACATTTTCATAAAAATGTAATGGAACTTATGTGATTGACTGAAACTCAAAATTTTTTGGGGGGTGGCCTTGCAAGGAAAACTTTTAGATCATCAGGTTTCACTGTAAAGCTACTTTCTAGTTTTAGATTGGATAATGCTTTACAAGGAACTGCCAAATAATACCTAGATATTACCCATTTGAAAATACAAGCAATAAGGTCATCACAGCAATTTTAAAAATAATTGTGTAACTAAGGAAAGTTTTCTGCATTGCTAATTATATTATTCAGGCTTCTACAGAGAGACAGAGCTTATAGTATATGGATATGGATATATGTATGTATATGAGAAGATTTATGTATGTATGTATATGAGAAGGTATAATTCAGTCTGAGTGTGAAGGCCTGAGAACCTGGAGTGCCAATGTCCAAGGACAGGAAAAGATTCATGCCCCAGTTCAAACAGAAGCAAATTTGTCCTTCCTCTATCTTTTTTTTTTTTTTTTTGAAACAGAGTCTCACTCTGTCCCCCAGGGCTGGAATGAAATGGTGCAGTCTTGGCTTTCTTCCCTCATTCAAGTGATTCTTGTGCCTCAGCCTCCCGAATAGCTGGGACTACAGGCGCACACCACCACGCTTGGCTAGTTTTTGTATTTTTAGTAGAGATGGGGTTTCACTATGTTGGCCAGGCTGTTCTCAAACTCCTGACCTCGTGATCTGCCCACTTCGGCCTCCCAAAGTGCTGGGATTACAGGTGTGAGCCACTGCACCTAGCCTTCCTCTGCCTTTTTATTGCACCAACCTAACATTCAGACCCTCAAGGGATTGGATGATGCCCCCTTGCATTGTGGTGGGAGGATCTGCTTTACTTAGTCCAACATAAACCCATCTCTTCCAGAAACAGCCTTACAAACATGCTCAGAAATAATGTTTAAGCAGCTGTTTCGGCATATCCTGGACCACTGAAGTAGATACATAAAGTTAACCATCACACTAGTTAAGAATCTGATGTAACCATTATCTATTTATATGATAAATTCAAAGCTTATTCCTACAACCAATAGTGTAGAGACTTTTAAAAATGTACTTGTTTTGTTGTTTTATCAGATTTCTGGCAATTGCATTGTGTTGTATGTTACTGTCGACTTTCGGGTTATTTAGAGGGCTGCAACTTGTCCAGAGAAAGATGAAAATAGCAATGAAGTCAGAAATTTGTAGTGTCACTATTTTATACTAACAAGGAGTGTATTGTCTGGGTAAATACAAATTGGAAAAGAAACAATTCTCTTTGTTGAAAATACGGGAAGAGACATCCATCCCCTCCCTTTCTTAGGGCATTTACTTTAGAAAACTTGCAGATGGAAATTTTTGTTTGTGTCTTTAAAAATGTGTGTAAATCTTTTTAAATGTCAAATAAGCCTCTTGCCTGGTGAAAGGCTCGGGAATGTCTTACTCTATGACCTGGGGACCATCTCATTGAAATGTCTTCATCATCAAAGAACATAGTGCCCATCTCCCAATTTCTGTGGGTGGGTGGAAACCTAGCTTCAGAAGGTATTTAGCTTAAAATTGCAAAACTATCTTATGTTATAAAGATATGATAATTTATTTTTCCTTTGGATAATACACAGAACATCATTCCAAGTATCCAGTGAATTTAGGATGAACTATGTGTAACAAATAGTGCTGTCAAGTCCTATCTAGCACTTGAAGACTAGTTATTATTTATCTTGAGAACATGTACATAATGGATTGTATCTGCTTGGCTATATAAAATAATGAGATTTATTTCTGTTTTGCGATATCTTAGCACACCTACAATCTGGTTTAATGCTTATTCAATAATACAACTGTGTTCTTTCTTTTATGTTGTAGAGAAGCTTCCCAGGTTGGGAGGAGATTTTGTTTTTAATTATTTATCACCAACATATAGTGTCATATTTTCATTTGCCTCAACTAATCATGAATACCTGAAAGGCAAAGTCCATATTTTGCTTATATTTTTTATACTCATGCCTCGTACTCAATAGATATTCAATTAAGATAGGTTTAATCCTGTTGTGTTCAGGAGATATATCAAATGTATGTATGATGAGAAACATTTGAAATACTGTAGAATAGAAAAGAGCTTCTAGACCTTCAAAAACAGCTATATGTTATCTCCAATCTACTCTCATACCAGCTTTTCTTTCTCTCCTCACATATACCATTTTCCTCAAGAATTTCTGAAATATTTATTTGTAATTGCTAAAATCTTCATTTTTCATGGCTCTGTACATTTATATGTATGCCTGCTTCCCTTCCCCCTATCTCAGGAATGCCTCTCCACAAACAGTTCCTGGGCCTGACACACTGATTGCTGTGTTTGTATCTAGAGAAGAGAAAGGATGACTAAGGGAAGTGAGTAAGGGGTAGATTTACTTTTGAAATGTACTTGCGTATCTTTTAAATTTTGTTCATGTATGCATTCACTACTTAAAAACAGATATGATAATTATATTTTGATAGGAAAAAATACAAAGTCACTTCCTTTAGGAAATGTCCTATTACCCTTCGTTGGCTAGGCTATTGGCCATGTTACCTAGAGAATAGGCTTGTTTCTCCCTGCACACAGAAGCCAATACCATGGCATGGGGTCTTTTAAGAAAAGAAAAGCTTTAAAGGAAAACCTGCCAGCAAGGAGAGGGGAGTGGGCTGAAATCTGTCTCCCTAACTTTGGGTCTGGGGAAAGTTGATGATTTAGAGGGCAAGGGAAAGGATTTAGGAATTTTGACTTGGCACAGTCTGGTTCAAGAGCTTCAAATTTGGCCGTTTAAAGTATGTAGAGGTAAATTTTAGCTCCACATCTTCTAGGTTAAGGGTTTCCTTGTGACTGAAAGAGTTCTGGTGTTCAGGTTCTGGTCATATTCCAGTCTTCTTGGTTCCAAGGGAAGGATTCCTTGATTCCAGGTGTTTTTAGAGGTCAAAGGTTTTTCTATTGCACTTGCCCAGGCAACAGGACTTGCAGTTTTTGTCTCTGTTACCTTTTACTGGGAAGTGTGGGGATTCTCAGTTCTTCTCTAACTTGAAAGAAAGAATTCAGCCAAGAGATGTATAGTTTATTGAAGGGAGATAAAGTACATTTTTAGAGTGGCAAACAGCTCTGGCTGGGCTGATCCTGCTGAAAAACAGCTCGTGGCTGTTTCTGCTGGAAAAATGATAGTAGCAGGGTTCGTTTAAAGAGACAGTACATTCTGAAAGATAAAACAGAGTCTAATGCTTGAAAGAATGAGTCAGCAGAAGCTAGTGCTGAAGGATTCTTTTTATGAGAATCTTACATGATTATTCATAAAGGGGCATGAGGGGGTGTTCCTTGCAAGCATGTTTTGGGAGGTCCCTTTGGGCATGTATGCTCTGTGGTCCTATATGCTAGTGCAAGTAAACATGTCACGTATCTTATTAGTATTTAAAATCTCCTGGACAGAGATTTTTAATACTAGTAAATAGTATTCATTTAGTCAATACTGTTTTTACTATTATAACGAGAAAAATGTTACTCTAGGGTCCATGCTCATCAGCAGGGAAAATCCCGACCATGGTTATTTCTGGATACAGCCTAAGTATCCTTTAGGGCTGGAGGAGCCCACTCACAAGGCCAGAAGTAGCCAAAGTAGCCATTGTCATTTTTCCTGTCTACAAGTGGGCAGCATCTTTAGGACTTCTTTTCCCAGGGGCTCCCCTGTTGCTTATTTTGTTACCAAAATACCAGGGGTTTGGTCTAGGTCCTGCTGTTTGCTGCATAGAAAGCCAATCATTAATATAATGCTTATTGCCAAGGAAGAAGGCTTTAATTGGGTGTTGCAGCTGAGAAGATGTGATTTCAGTCTCAAATCTATCTCCCTGGCTGGCTAAAATTAGGGGTTTAATAGCAGGGAAGAAAAAGAAATGTAACAAAATATTTGAAAACAGAAATTTGGGAGGGGCAAGGAAGCAATCATGATGAATGAGGGGCCTGGTGTCTCATTGTCTGGAGGTGATGATCTGGTGAGTTTCAGTTCTTTGATACACTTTGAGAGTCCTGGTACCTCATTGGGTCTGGTGAGTTTTAAGCTTTAAGACCAGAGGGCAGGTCAATTTATATAATTATCTTTAAAAAACTGTCTGTGGGACTCTTGGGCTGGTTTCAGTCCCCCCTTTCTAGTTATCAGTTCCTCAATCATGCAGAATCCTGTGGTCAATCTTTCTGGCTTCTTCCTGCTGAGGAGGGGCATTGTCGGCAGCTCCTTACCATGGATGACCATGTGGCCACCAGTAATCAAAGGTTTATCCAGTACTATAGTTTTCTTCTAAAACATAATATTTCTCTCTCCAGTCCCCCACGAATACAAATCACAGCAGGACTAATCAACCTGCAGGATAAACTTGAGTCCCATAGACTTGGCCTTTTACCCACACAAAGTGCATCAAGAATCATTGTCCCCTTAGGCTCTTCTAAATTGGCTTTGCTAGAACCTCTCACAGGCCATTTCAGCCAAAGTTCTGAGAAAATAACCAGTTCCTTCAACTGGGTTCCGTGATAAACGTAAACAGGTTGTTAGTAAATATATGCAAACAAACATATTGCCATGAATTAAGAATATTCACAAATAGTTTACAAATCATGGAGAAATTAGGAAGAGAGAGAAATATGCCTCAAATTCCATTCACAAAAGTATACTCTACACAATATACTTAAAGTATACTTAAAGGCTATAAATACCTCAAGATAAAAAAATTCCCCAGACTCTGAAAAACAAAACAAAACCAATCAGCAATATTTCACACTAAAAAAAACCATAAAAATTATTTTAGTCCTTTATTAGTTCAGTCTATGCAAGAAATTCCTGCTCTCTGCTTCATATTGGGTTAGCAATCTTTATGAACACATCAGCCTTTCAATTAGTCCTCTGGAAGTTTTTACTCTAATCCAAGGGCACAATCTCCAAAGTTATCAGAAACCTGCATTCAAAACTCCTTTTCTAGTACTCTTCCAAAGAAGCAAGCCCTGGACTGTAGCTGCTTGTAAGTCACTTTTTGAGAAGGATCAAACTAAAACAACAATGATGAATGACAAAAGCCTTAAGATAGTCATCATTAAAGACACAGTTGGAAAAGAAATTTGGTTATTTCTGTGGCATACAACAATTTAACCTAATAATTATAATTATTATTACTGACAACCTATATTAAGACATATCAGAATCTTAGGAGTCACACATAATCCTGGAACACATATTAACAATATATCTATATAAATATAACCCAAAGGAAGGTAAACACTATCACAGATTTGACAATGCTTCCTGCATAATTCTAACATAACAAGCCAAATGAGCCAAATATGTCTCTCTTGGACTTCAGGAAATGTAATATACAAAAAAGCTAGTTTGAGGTCAAAAGGACTTAATTTGGAACTTAAAATTTTGTTCTTGAAAAGTTTGGCAAATATCAAAGTTTTAAGACATTTCCTGTTATAAAATGGGATCACAGTTCACCATAAAATAATCATTAATTAAAACAAAAACATTTACCTTTTGATAGAGAGGAGACTCAATTTCCCAAATAAGACCTAATACTTCAGAAAGCATGAGGGCAACTAAATCGGTCTCTTTCTGCTGCATATTTTTCCTGTACTTTACTCAAAAGGTAAACAGAAATTTATTTTACCTTTTTATGGTATATTATTTAAGTTAAAGCTAATTTTAATAACACCATATGAACAAATCTATCCAATTTCAATCATTTTGACTGTAAGATTTTCATAAAATTTTATAACCTATTACAATTTTCTATTAAAGAGCACATCAGTGATCCAAGCAATCCCTGTTATTCTGACACATGGACCCAGATGCTGGCCTTGCATTACTGTGCTTTTGATATTAATGTTTAATTTATACAAAAACTCTGAACTAATCTTATCCCTCAAATTCAACCCTTATAATTCACATGCTCACATCTTCCAAGATAGTCCCTGGGCCTAGAGCGATTGAATGGTTTTAATTTCTGGTCCTGTGTCTCACAAAATCAGTTCATTTTGTTTTTCACCTTCTCCTGAGTTTGAAGACGAGGTTTTGACTGGTGTCAATGCTCAAAATTGAGCAGAAGTCAGTGCCTTCTTCAGACCCAGGAGTCAAAGCCCTATAACTTAACGGCACAAAGTTTAGTTAATAGAATAGTTTAGTTAATAGAATATTTATACTACAGCCCTGTCATTCTCTCTAACATGTCACAAATTAGAACACTGTGATTTGGACTTTAGCTATCACTACCTGCAGCACTTCAAACCACTGTATTAAAGTGGTTAGGTTACTCATTCCTTATGTCTAATTGCTAGCATTCTAGTGACATAACTGTGACCAAAAGCATCCTATGCCAGACTTATCAAAGTAAGACAACTAACTTTTCTCTCCAACATCAAAAAATGGTAAATGCAAATATCAGTTTTGGAAATTTAATATGAGGATAAGTAATACACTTAAATTCACTTAAATAGTGTACAATAAAACAAGGACAAAGTAAGAACAAACACGCAATAATTTCTTTTCATCTATTTAAAACAGCATTATCACAAATTTCCAAGATTGGTTTCTAGATATATAACTGACATCTGACTGGTAACTTTCATCAGTAAAATCTTCAAATCAATGCAACAATTGTACTTATTTTGTTTTCAAATACTTACATGAAGGCCCATCAGTGATAAATGGCTTGGAGTCAAAAATCACTAGGAAGTCTCACATTTTAAAAAAATTTTTACTACTGAATCCAACTGAATGTCACTTAATGTTAATAATAGTAAACACAACTAAAGTAGTTTGAGAGAAATCCCAGTTGATATAATTTCCTTGAGGACAAGACCCATCTTTCCTGAACATTAAAACTTTGTGCCCATATCACAGTTTTTTTTTTCATTCATTAAAGGAAAAAATCTGAAACTAACTCAAATTATAGATTTAATTGAATTATCCTGGAAATAAACAACATTTAAAAACTTCTACTCTCATGTACTTTTCCAAATAACAAACACATAATGCAAAATTTCTGTTCAGAACTTATAAAGGTAAGTCTTTTATGTAATTTTTTAGACATGTTAAAGCTCTCATAGCTCTCAAGAGTATCAGAGGTAAGCAAAAACCAATCAAATTTTAAAAGGCTGGTGTCCTCTATCAATTATTGGAGACTTGACAAATGTAGCTTAAAAACTTGGGATAAATAGAGAAATAATACATTGCTGGAAAGGCATAGGAAACAAAATGACTATTCATAGAAGGAAATAAAAGCCTTCCATTAGAAACTTTAAAAATCAATGGTTTTATATGTATATGTATTTATAAGTAAAACTGAGAGGGGAACAAACAGCAAATAAATAAAAATTAAAACCAAATACAGTCTGAGGGCAGTGGCTCACACCTGTAATCCCAGCACTTTGGGAGGCCAAGGCAGGTGGATCATGAGGTCAGGAGTTCAAGACCAGCCTGGCCAACCTACTGAAACCCCATCTCTACTAAAAATACAAAAAATTAGCCGGGCATGGTGGGGGGCATCTGTAGTCCCAGCTGCTCAGGAGGCTGAGGCAGGAGAATTGCTTGAACCCAGGAGGCAGAGGTTGCAGCAAGCCAAGATTGCACCATTGCATTCCAGCATTCTAGCCTGGGCAACAGTGCGAGACTCCATCTCAAAAAAAAAAAAATACAAATACAGATAAATGAGAAACCAACTCCAAATTTTTCTCCTCTTTAGTTTACCTTGTAGGCTACAGTGTTAACCAGAACCTGAAAAAAACAAAAACAAAATAAAACAAAAACACACAAACAAACAAACAAAAAACCTGGATGAATATTTTGTCCCTGATTCAAAATATAATGCCTTTAAATCCTTCAATCCCCCTAACATTTTGTACAATTAAGAAATTCACTTTAGGTACATGACCAATAAGTACTTTAGTGTTAGTACTATCTATAAAGAATAGTAAATATAGTGTGAGGCAATACAAGCATGTATGTGAAATTTGGTTCCATGTTAAATGTAGCTTCATGCTTAATTATATTTAAAAAAATTACCAAACTTCCAGTGTATTTTTTAAAATAATTCTTATTTTACTTTCATCAAGACTAAGAGCTTTAACTATGAGATGTTAATTAATCTAATTTCTCTAATTTTCTATCATGTTTTAAAGAGTATTTTACTATGTAAACATTTTTAACTTTCTATTTTCTCTGTATGTGCACAAAGTAGACATACAGAGAAAAAGGAAAAAACTACGTATGACTTACCCAGATGATCTATAACATACTTGGACTTTCTATTTTGACCTAAATCTTGTTTTCTTTATAATCTGCCTTACCAAAAATGCAAGCTCCTATCCATAGCTTTCTTCACATCTTTCTCTTCTCCTCCCTGGTTCCTTTCTACCTTGGTTCAAAAATAACCTTTTCGAGTCTGTAATTTGAATTAATTTTTAGACAACTTCTGAATTAGACAAAATTGTTCTTTTTCTCACTAAAAACATATCTTCTTTGGCCCATTTTATATACAGAATTATATATTATCTATAATTCTCATCCTTAGAAAACTTAGATTTTAGTGAAAATGTAGGAAGCAAGAAATCTTGAGCTGCCTACCAGATATTAGTATTTTATAGATGAAAAACATCCCCATTCCATAATTTTTAGAAATATATTTCCTTGTATCATAACTGTTTTTTAATTGGAAATGACTCAGACATTTAGTTAGCATCAAAAATAATTTAAAATTTTTAAATTACACAAAAAGTTTACCTCCAACATTTATCTCACTTACATGTTCTCAATTCTTTCATTTTTAACAGCTTATCTAGATTATTTCTAAAAACCGATACATTAAACATAGCTAGCCATCATTTAAAAATAGTTATTTCTTTGTTAACCTTTATTTGTTTATTTATTTTTCATAGCCAGTGAACATTAGCGAACATAGAAAAACCCTTAAAGTTAGCTACATGGGCATTTTCACCAGTAACTCTGAAGATTCAGCTGTTTTCATTAAACCAGCAACATTACATCAGTCTTACTTATCCAAAAAAATTACACAAAGATCATTTTGTTTGGCTGGGTTCATAGTTTTATAACCTTTTATGCCAAACTCTGACACTTCAAAATATCTAGCAGAGATAAAAATTAACCCAGAAAAAAAAATGCATGCTAGCAATTCTGAAGAATTTCTGTTTTTATTTTACCAACAATTTTAAAACCAGCTTATTTATTAAAAGTTTACTTAAGTCCTGTGAATTTGAGAAATACTTTGGGCTTAATTTATGAATGCTTTTTTATTTTTAAACCAATTTGGTAGGCACGACATATAACATAATAAATGTACATACATAAGCACATCCAGACATGTATACATATGCATAAGCAAAGATCCAATAGATTTACCTCAGAGCTCTAGCCATAAGATAACAATACAAACTCATCAGTTTACATGGCTACACTTTGTTTTCCCTGATAGTTAATCCAATGAAGGGTGTAGATCAACATTATGGGTAAAGCAGTCTCCATGGCAGTTTGACTTTTAAAGGCTAAACCTTCCCAGGCTACACAGAACACTGGGGCCAAACAGCACCAAAGAAGAATGTCACACGCTAACCAGGCCCGACACTGTTTAGAAGTACTGGAGCCAAACAGTATTACAAAGGAGTATCAGCTTACTGAATTCTAATTTTTCCGTAACACACACAAAATCAATCACCAAAACACATTCCAACTGCTGCAACAGCTAACCTCAAGAGTGTCCTAATGGAAACAGGATGCTTCCCCTCTCCATTGGTTGGGCTTGATCAACCTGCAAACAAAAATTCCCTCAAGATTTCTCTGATTGAGAGGAGCCAATCCCACTGTCTGGTACCAACAAAAGACACTCACTTTCCAGGACACATAATATAATTGCAAACAATCCCCACATAGTGTTCATACTGAAACAGTCAAGGTGCTTCCCTCTCTCAGTCAGTTGGGCTTGTTCAACCAACTAACAGAAATTTTTAAAAAAATTTCCAAAGTGATAGGAGTAGTTCATGTGCCTGGGCCCACAAAGGGCCCCTCATCTAAACAGATGCAGATGCCAAATTTCAAAGGCAGTTCTTCCTAGGCAATTAGGAATGTGGCTGGGGCCAGCTGCAGCAGGGCCAGAGAGATACCGAAACTCTCCTCCAGTCAAAATTGGGCAGGCAGCTGCTTAGGAGGGCTTCTGAGACTCCTTGCCCATGGCAACCAAGCCACAAGCTGGGTTCCAGGTCAGGGAGTCAAAATCTGTTACTTACACACCAGGGATTTGATTTAGGCCTTGCTGCTCGCTGCACAGAAAGACAATCACTGATACAGTGAATATTGCCAAGGAAGAAGGCTTTAATTGGGTGCTGCAGCTGAGGAGATCGGAGCTCAGTCTCGAATCCATCTTCCTGACTGACTAAAATTAGGGGTTTATATAGCAAGGAAGAAAAAGAAATGTAACTATATATGAAAACTGGAACTTGGGAGGGGCAAGGAAGAATCACGATGAATGAGGGGCCTGGCATCTCATTGTCTGGATGCGATGATATGGTGAGTTTCTGTTCTTTTATACTCTTTGAGAGGCCTGATATCTCATTGTCTGGATCTGGTGAGTTTTAAGCTTTAAGACTAGAAATGTCAATCTGAATAATATTGATGTCAAAAGAGTCATGTAATAATAAAATGTCAAAAGAATAATAATAATTGCCTATGAGACTACTGGGTCGGTTTCCATTGCTGGCTATCTGCCTACTCCAACATACCTACAAAGTAACTCTACATTTTGTTTTTAACAGAGCAGACCAAATTTAGGCTGGTTCCACAGTTACAGCCACATTAAAGTAGTGCAGCTGCTTTGGAGCCAGCCACATGATCACTGCTTAATAAAGGGTTGCTGAGTGAGTGAAGAAATAGAGCAAGCATGTGTTATCAAGTTATCAGTGTCTGTAGCATTTAATGAAAAAATATATTCCAACTGCTGTGGACAAGAAATGACAAACCTCACCAATAAGCTGTGAGGCTAAAGAAAAGGAGCAAGTTTTAGAAAGAAATTAATCTCTGTCGTGAAATCAACAATTTCTTATTGACACAACTGTGCTAGACATAGCTTTTAAGCAAAAACTCCCAATGAGACATATCTGTCTTAACTGCAGTAAAGTTCTGTTTCTGCCTGTAACTAGAATAGTGTTCAGTGATTCCATTTTAGTAGCTCTCTTAATACAGACATTATAACACTAGACATTTCTTAATTAGAGAAGTAATTTCTCAAAAAAAATCATAACAATGATTCAATAGTATATCTGTTTTGAGAGGCATTGCAATATATTTGGTATAGTGGTTCCCCATTATTTGTAGGGGATACGTTCCAAGATCCCCAGTGGATGCCAAAGTACTGAAACCTGTATATACTGTGTTTTCCTATACATACATACCTACCTATGATAAAGGTTAATTTATAAATTAGGCACTGTAAAAGACTAATAATAATAACTAACAATAAAATAGAACAATTATAACCATATGCTGTCATGAAAGATACGTGAATATGCTCTCTCTCAAAATACCTTACTACAGTGTACTCCCAGTTCTTCTTATGAAGATGTGAGATGATAAAATGCCTACATGATGAGATGAAGTGAGGTGAACGATGCAGGCACTGTGACGTAGTCTTAGGCTACTGTTGACCTTGAACACATGCACTGCAATACTATGAGCCATAAGATGGCTATTAAGTGGCCAGCAGGTGATAGCATTTGCAGTATTCATATGCTGGACAAAGGGATGATTCAGGTCCAGGGCAGAATGAAGCAAGATGGTGCGAGATTGCATCATGCTACTCAAAACAGTGCACAATTTAAAAAGCAAAAGTTGTTAATTTCTGAAATTTTCCATGTAATATTTTCATATCACAGCTGACTGTGGGTAACTGAAACCATGTAAAACAAAACCATGGATAAGAAGGGACTACCATATTATGCCTTTCATGGTTACATAAAAATGGTATATAAAATAAAAATGCCTGCTAAAAAGTAAAATAGCCATGATGAGGAAAACGATTATGATTATTATGAAGGCTTTAACTACAAAGGGCTTGTTTATTCAATGTTATTTATGTGACAGATTCTTAGAACATTAACCACCAGATATTTCCCTCTGTTTGACTTTGTCATACAAAATGTGGGGTATTCTGAAGTAAATGCTATAAAGTTAGAGGGAGAAGGTTAGACAACCTACTTTCTTTGCAATGTCATCTAAGTTGGAAAAGCTGTCACAGGGAATAACTGGATAAAAGAAGTCATTCTAGATGAGTGAAGAAATAACAGTGACCATAAGGACAACATTTTTTAAAAGTGCTTTGAGTGCAGTTGCATATTTGTTTCTTAGACTGTCTTTGCTTAATAATTAGCATATAAATGGTCTCAACTAGGATTGGAAGTTAACGTTTCATTAACCTCACTTACAATACCTAAAGGAGGCATCCACATTTAAATTCAGGGAGAAAATTAGTCTAACTAAACTCTCCTGAATATGATAATCTTGAAGCAGCCACAAACACACTGAGCACTGACCAAGCATCCCAAGTTTCATTAAAAACACATACACACACACACACACACACACACTCACTCAGCAAGAATGAAAACACTCACTGATGCTATTTTCTCAAAGGAAATACTGAATAATATCTTAGTAAGTTATCTTCTATTATTGAATTGTACATTTTATTTTTTATAAATGATATTGTATTCATTTATTTATTCAGTCAGGACAATTCATCTTTTCTTCATTAATTCATTCATTCTTCATTTAACAAATGTTTTAAAAGCACCTGCTTTAAGTAAACCACAATTTTGTAGCCAATAGGAGGTGATCTAAAGCAAAGTAAGACCTAGCTCCTATCTTTGTGGGGCCTCCTTTATAGCAGAGAAGACAAGACTACAAACAGGAGAAAATTCAAAACAACATGAGTTTTTAAAATTGAATTTTTACCATTTGATGAACATTGTGTAAAGCAACTAATTCTAAGACACATTGGCGTAAAACAGAACTTAGTAAAGCACATGGGGAGTTCAGAGACATTGCTACTCTCCAAGAGTCAGAGTGAAATGGTTAAGAATAAGGTCACTCAAACCTTAGTTTGTGTCTGGGCTTGGTCATTACTTCCCGTTACCTTAGGCAAGCCATTTGATGTCTCATTGCCTCATCCTCCTCATGTGTGAAAAGGGAATAATAATAAGGGTGGCTACATAGTAGGGGTGTTGTAAAGATGAAATTAGCTAAGAAATGTGAGATACTTAGAACTGTGCGGTATGTACCAAAAGGTGCAATGTTTTATTTTTCATGTATTGTGAACATTTTCCAAAAGGAATAACATTTTAGCTAACTGATACTTCAAATATAGGGTTTTCTTTTTTGGGAAAAGTGAATTTCTATTTTCAGAAGTAAAACTAGGTTAGTGATTCACCAGCACTAAATATTTAGTGCCAATCCATGAGGCACTTTAGAATTACAATGTTTGTATTAGTAAAAGTACTGGACTGAGAGTGAAGTGTACCAATAATAATTATAGTTTTATAGTAATAGTTATATGACTTTCAGCAAATTGGAAGTTGTAAATTGTAAACCTCAATTTCCTAGTCCATAAAATCAGATGGAGTGTTGTGCATATATGTGTAAGTTGCAAAGGCATTTAAGTACTTCAATAGTGCTTGAAGGCTCATAATGTAATAGAAGGCACTTTTGAGTCTCATACTCTAAAGATTTGCTCCATGTGCTGCAATTTATGCTTCATAAAATTTAAGAAAGCACAATAATATCTACCAATCATAAAATAGCAGTCTTCTTGAGATTAGAAAAATCATTTCTAGCCAGTCATCAACAGAAGGCATGAAAGAGAACTAAAGTTTAATTGAGAAATTTTATGTAGAAATCTTATTCTTGGATCAACATGATCTCTGTATTTGTATCTCACCATTGTCTGGAACTTATTTTCTCACCTGCAGGTGAAAGAAAAATACTTTCACATTCTTTAAGTTCTATTTCGAATTGATCTACCTAAAGGCTGTCATTAAATAGATGGTAGAGTATAAATTGTATTCAAATTAAAAATAAAAAATGCACAAGTATGTAATTACTGTAATATATACAAACAATAACAAAATATATGAAGTAAAAGATTTAAATACACTTTACTCCCCATCCCTAGCTACCCAGTATGACTACCACTCCTGCTCCTGTTTTCTTTTCTAGATAGAATCACTATTAACCATATGCTATAATTCTGGTCAAACTGATTTTTCTATGTATTTTCATGCATATATATGTCCACGTAAACCTGCATATTTTCCTTTGTAGACATGGAGTTATATATTGTATTCTTTGATGGAAAAATGACACATTGTTCAAGATTCCTAATTATAGCTACAGTAAGCAAATTTCCTAACATTTATTGCCTATTAGCAGTGATTCTTTTGTGAAACAGCTATATATAATTTTTGCTCACTTTCTTTTTTAAGTGATAAGTCTTCTTTATTATTTTCCTGTTCTGTTGCAAATATTTTTTGCCTACGTTGTCAATTGAATTTTATTAGAAGTATGTTTCATGTTCCTGTTATTATAAAAAGTTTTAGTTTTACAGGATCGAGTTATCATTCTTTCCTCTAAGGTTACTGTTTGTTTTATAAGCCATTTCCTACTTAAATCTGATAAAATATTATTTTTAATTTTTTACATATATGTGTATTTGAATACATGTATGTGTGTATATATTTATATATAATATATAAAAATATAAATATATATATAATTTATATATATATATAAACTGTATATATATTTTTTAAGCCACCTAGGTTTTTGTGGTACTAGGTGAGGTAGAATATTATTTGTAGTTTATTTTCTTTTTTTTTCCCATAAAGGGTGGCTTATTTTCTGAACATCATTTCTCATTTCTAGTTCACCCCTTTTGCACAGATTTAAATGTTTATCTTCATCATGTAATAGATTTTCACCTGAATATGAATAAAACAATTGTTAAGCTCTAAATTAGGTAAGATGATTTGTATTATATCAAGATTTTTTTAGGCTAAACAATAATAATAGCTTATTGTAGTTTGGATAATTGAGATTTTAAGTGCGAGCAGGGGTACAATTTTAAAGAAAATACATTAGAAAAAATGAAATATTATCACAGATTTTCTTGCTGTCAGTATAACTTACATAAAACTAACTCATAGCATCTAACATGGATCTATATTACAATCCTAAGTAAGAAATCATAATGTAATTTAGACTACACCCTTAAAAAGTGAAGATCTCATGCTAGAGTTATTATATCTTAAGTTTTGGCAAAAAGAATATGTGGGTTTTCATGTTATGTGACCTTAAAGCAATGATTTTAGGATTCTATGAGGTGAAGTGCACAAAGATCTTACAAGTGCTTTCAACACACACACAGACACACACACACACACACACACACCCCTACCTGTGTGTATTCAGTGGGTCCCCAAGACCATCTTCAGGTTCAATGATTCAATAGAGGAACTCAGAAAAGCTATTACACTTACAGCAATGGTTTATTACAGTGAAAGGAAGTCAATTTAAAATCAGAAAGGAAAAAGGCACAGAGGTGCAAGTTTCCAGTTTTCTTCTCCAAGTTGAGTCATATAAACAGCACATAATCCTCCCAGCAATTGTGTGGGACAACACATAGATAGTATTGCCAACCAGGAAAGCTCATCCAAGGCTTGGTGACCAGATATGTTTGTGGGTTTGGTCATGTTGGGTCTGCACAGCTGGCCTCATTTACTCAGTCTCTTGCCCCTCCAAAGGTCAAAGTGATACCTCATGAACCAAGACCCCCACCTTAAATTACACAGTTAGCATAGACTACCTGGTGTGGCTCTAGGTGCCAAGTAAACACAAATACTCTTATCAAGCATTATATTCCAAGGGTTTAGAAGTTATTTCCTAGGAACTGGTCAAGGACTAATCCTTTCTTGGAATGTGCAGAGTTTGCACAACACAGACCTGCAGAGTAAATCGTTAGCTACACAGTGCATAACTTGTCAACTAAATGGTGATTACACAGATACTAGTTAGGAGCAAGACTGTGAAACATACAAACGTATAAACCAAAAAACCAACCAAATGTGCTTTCTACTTTTTAATGCTCTAAAATAAATTTATAAAAAGTATTTGAAAACATGATCATGGGTAACGTTCAAATTTCAAAACCACAGTGAATAATGCACTATTTCCCTGATATTTTAAAAAATAAATGTTCCCCAACAGTAGAGAAGGCATATTTTGAAAAAAATCTCACTTGTCATTTTCCATACAAGTTGAGAAACATGATGAGCAATTAGTGGATGCAATAATGCAGTGCAATCTTCAGAAACCTCTTGAGGGTATCAGAAAAATATCCTATTTGAATATTGGGAAGTGAGGAAGTCAATCCAGTCTGATCTATGCAATTTGGCCTTTGAATATCTAAGTTGCTGTCAATCATCCTTTCTGAATTAGTTTAGCACAGCAGGAATTACTAACTTATGCAAACCAAACTGCTGCCAATAAAAAAAAAATAAGGAGTTTTGTATTTGCAAAAAGACACAATTATTGTCAAGAGGTGTTTCATTGTTTTAAAGATATATTTGTAAATATGCCAAGATACTTTTCATGCTTTGTAAGTATGCAAAATGTAAAATGCATTTCAGCTATTTAACTCATATATTTGTGCTACAAGACATTAAATAAAAAATATTTACTTACTTAATTTGTTTTTCCCTTGTATGTTTTTATACTATGTAAATAGAATGGACATTGAAGTGCTTCCATGTCATATTTGTGAAATAAAAATACATATTTTTCAAAAATAAAAATATATTTTTGGACATAGTTAATAATTGTATTAAAGATGCAACTCATCAATAAAATGTTAGTTCTTCAGCATGGCTATGCAAATGTTGTAGGCATAAATTCTTCTTTAAATACTTTAACTTTCCCTAGTAAAGACCTTGGTTGAACTGACTGAGATTAAGGGAATTAAATCATCTACTAGTATTCCAATATATCTCTTTACTTTTTTTTGTCACTGAGATGGTTTTTAAAATAGCTAATTTGCAAAAAAAAAAAAAAAAAAAAAAAGAAAAGAAAAGAACATATATATGTTCTACTGATGATTATGAAAGAATGCTGTATTAGGAGTATATTTTTTGAAATCTCTTCAAAATTAACTGTATACTCTTTATAATGATCAAATCCCTTTGAATAAAATCAAAAACATTCTAGAAGTTTTTTTATACATGTAAAACAAGTTCACATCATACTCAGTTCATATGGCAGATGCATTTAAAAATTTGTTCAGAAGTATTGTATGCTTGCAGGGTAATGAACAAGGTCTCATTTTCCTTGATGATGGTTACCTGCTCGTTCTCCTTCACAGAAAAAAAAAAAGGCCCAAGTAATTCAGTATTTCCCCAACTATTAGGAAGGCAGTAGAGCATGATTGCTAAGACACAGGTTTTGGAGCCAAATTAGCTGGATTCTAATTTTGCCTTTACCAATTCCTAGCTGTAAGACTCCAGAGTGTGAGATACTAATAGTATGCAAGTATTATGGATTTTTGAGGATCAAATGAGCTAATGCATGAAAAGAACTCAGCATAGTACCTGTACTTTATAGGTAATCAATAAATATTTCCAATTCTTATCTTTGGTTTGCTTTATTAACTCAAAGAACCTCCAGCGTACATCTTATCTTTGGTTTGCTTTTTTAATTCAAAGAACCTCCAGCATATTTACAGAATAAACATCAATTGACCCTAAAAGTGTTTTGAATAAATCTCTCTCCATAATGGAAACAATATAGTGCTGTATATTTCAAGAATTAGTGTATTGTCTATATTAGCACTCACCAATCTAACGTTCTGAAAGGAAGGAGAGATGTGTGTTAACTCATATCATCACCATGGCCCCATGTGACTACTGGGCACTTTAATGTAACAAGAGCAACCAAAAAACTGAACTTTTGATTTCATTTATTTATTTATTTATGAGACGGAGTCTTGCTCTGTTACCCAGGCAGGAATGCAGTGGCGCAGTCTCGGCTCACTGCAAGCTCCGCTTCCCGGGTTCATGCTATTCTCCTGCCTCAGCCTCCCGAGTAGCTGGGACTACAAGAGCCCGCCACCACGCCCGGCTAATTTTTTTGTATTTTTAGTAGAGACGGGGTTTCACCGTGTTAGCCAGGATGGTCTTGATCTCCTGACCTCGTGATCTCCCCTCCTCGGCCTCCCAAAGTGCTGGGATTGCAGGTATGAGCCACCGCGCCACTTACTTTTAATTAACTTAATTTAATTAGCTACCTATGGCTAGTGGCTACAGTATTATATGGCACAGGTCTATATGCTTTATTTTAAGTAAACTTCTCAGCTAAACCCAGATATTTCCAGCTATCACTGAAAAGCAGAGCACACTCAATTGAACTTGCAGTAAGGAAGGCAATATCCCAGTTTGTGTGGAAGTCTCTCTCTAGACAAAAGAGTAGAGTTTTTTTCACTGTTCATCTTTAGATCAATAAAAACTTGATTTCATGTTGAGATCTGGCTTGTAAAAGCAGAGGTAACAGAAACCTCTCAAACAGGCTATCTGCTGACACTGGCTCTGAAATTCTACATGGAAACTATCATCAGATTCAGGCCAGCCAGTAGCAAGCAGATTCTATACCTTGGTGAAAGAAAATAAAGAGGAGAATAGCAGTCAAGTTCTGGATTCTCAGGGACCAGGATGCATAACAGAGGGAGGTTCAAAATGTCTTTTGTGTGGCTTCCAGGAGCAGTTGGAAGTCTCCATCAGAATTCTCTCTGCATTAAAATACGGTCCCCCTATTATTAGTTTTTAAAATGTCTGTCATGCTTTCCATTGGCCAAATCCAACTAAAAGCCAGAGAAGATGACAGCTCTGTTGATGCAGTCCATACAGCTCCACTTCCTGGGAAGGGTTCAGGGAGAAACAGGTTAGAGAGGGGCTCAGCATGAACAGGTGGAAGATACAAAGCATACTGTTTACAACATGAAATTGTTAACAGGAATCTAGAGAGGTATAGGCTGATCCTGTTCTTAAACTATGCAGACAGGCCTGCAAAGAGAAAGAAAAATGAAACAAATGCATAACAAAAACCAGTTGAGTCACAGAAAGTGCTGACAATTTTGTTTTTTATTTATTTATTTGTTTATTTATTTATTTATTTATTTTTGAGGCAGGACCTCACTCTGTCACCCAGGTGGGAGTGCAGTAGTGCCATCAAGGCTTATTGTAGTCTCTGCCTCCTGGGTTCAAGTGAGCCTGTTGCCTTGGCCTCACAAAGTGCTGGGATTACAGGTATGAGCCACTTAGGCACCATTCTTTCCAATCTACATCTCTGCTCTTTATGTTTAGTGAGACACCTTTGAACACTTATAATACATATTTTATATTTTACTTAATCTAGCAAATTTCTGGTTTTTTGCAACCCAAAATATTTCACTAATATAAGTTTAAATACTCTCTACCTTTCCCATCTTTTCCTTTCCCAAAGAAAGCAAAATCAGACCAATGCATGGTGGCTCATGCCTGTAATCTCAGCACTTTGGGAGGCCGAAGTGGGAGGATCTTTTGAGCCCAGGAGTTCAAGACCAGCTTGGGCAACATAGTGAAATGCACTCTCTACAAATAATGAAAAATTATCTGGGATTGGTGGTGCAGTCTGGTAGTCCCAGCTATTTGGGAGGCTGAGGTAGGAGCATCACTTGAGCCTAGGAGATGGAGACTACAGAGAGCCATGATTGCATGACTGCATTCCAGCCTGAGCAACAAAGCAAGACCTGGCCTCAAAAAAAAAAAAAAAAAAAAAAAAAAAACCAGAAAAAGAAATATATTAATTTACCATTACCAGTTAAATGAAACCACATTACTAAATAATGACTTGAACCTAGATATGTTCTCTTGAATTAAATACCTTTGAACTTCAAAACTAACTAATTATTTGTGTAAAATTTTACAACCACAGACAATATCCACAAAAAATGTTTTGAAAGACAGATGTATATATGTGAGTGTGCATATATACATGTGAAAGTGCATTAAAGAGTAATAAACATTATATAACTACTTATTCTATCAGTAGTTGATTGACATTATTTAATATTTAAACTATGGGATACTATGTTTATTATTCATTTTATGTTTATGATTATACCTAAGTGAAAATGGAAAAAAAATACCTGAAATATATTAGTGTCACACTATTCTTGACCATTAAAAGTGAATTAAAAATTAAGTAGAAAATACTTGGCCTAAGGGATTCTTGGAATTTTTGCTTTTTATTAAAAATATCAAGTAATAATAATCAAAGTTATGTTTTATTGAGTGCTTACTATATGTCAGGCATTTTGTGAAAATGTTCTCAATAGCTTATTGAATTTAACTCAAAACAAAGCAAATGAGACTGTCTCACTTTACACAGCAATAAATTGTGACCTAGAAGTATTAAACTGTTGATTGAAGGCAAACCTGTACTATACAGGGCAAGCTGCAACTCAAGTCCAAATCTAACTCCAAAGTATTGACTTTGATGTAATGCCTTCTCTCTATAATATAATGCCTTTTCCCTTCTACTTTTCCATTTTTACTTCTGAAGTAAAATACATTTCAAGAGAAGCTGAATCTCCCTTTATAGAAATGCTTAAAGCAAATTATAAATTGTAATCTTCTAAAACAAGTTAACTGTAATATCATGCTAGAAAGGAAAATGGATGGTATTTTCTTCCTAACACCCATTTAAGCTCTCTGATTTCACTGTTTCACTGATTCATCCTCTTATATCAATAATACCAATAATAGTATCTTTTGAAAGAGAAGCTTAATTTCATGCTTGAATTATTTAATTGATACCTCTTTGACAATCAAATGTTTTGTTTGAAATCAGGGAAAAATGAATGCCATTTCCTCTTCTTTTGGTGAAATTGTATCCCAATTGTTTACGTTGAAAATTCCCTATGCAAGTACATTTCTCTAGATTTAAATCATTTGCTAGATTTTATGGGCTACTGTGGTAGCTTGTTATAGTGATGGCTGACGGTGAACATATCTTACCAGTACCCATGCCCTGTTTTACTATCTTGCCTACAATGAATCAGGGCTTGGTCATGTCAATTGTGATGGCCAACTGAACATCAGCAAATGTGAAACAAACAGAGACTGAAACATTGCCTTCACCTCCTTGCAACAGTGCTCTGAAACATCATGTCATTAAGAAGCATAAGATGTGAGAAAACATGAAAAGAGAATCCCAGCCATCCCAACTCCTCTTGCTGACCACAGCCTCCAGCCAACCCACCAGCTGAATTTAGCTGTATAAGAGACCTAAGGTGGCCCTAGTAGAATTAATCTGAAATTTTCTATCATCCATTCGGCTAGAGGCAAGATTATTTCTTGTTACATTATCCTAGGAACATGTTATCTTCGTTTCCCTAAAAAAGGTTACATATTTTGATATTGTACAGTAAATTATTCATTCATTTAACACATTTTAACAAATGTTTGCTAAGAATCTACTATTTGTAAGGTGCCATATTAGATGCTGGATTCATAATAGTATTAATAGTAATATGTTATTCCTGTTATCATGGAATTATAATATGGTGGGCAATAAAGAAAATAAAAGAGTACATTAGAAGCATTTTTGTTACAAATTTAATAAAAGCCATAAGGAAATGTTCATTGTCTTGGTAATACTTAGGTCTGGAGGACGAGGCGGACCAATGGTTAAAAACTCTGCCCATCCATGATTAATAGAACTATTCTCACATACTCTAAACTTTAAATGCTGAACTAACAGATATCTCTACATATAGCTAACGAGATCTCTAATAACAGAACTCATGCTTGGATAAATACTATTGTCACTTTATTGATCTAACTATTTTTATTCTCTAGACAAATACCACAACACCTTTATAGATCTCTAATATTTATTGGAGAAATATTTGACTTCATTCAAATATACCTTATCACTCTCATTCTAAAAAACCCATCTTGAAGTTTGGTAATTCATGAACACATAGTCCCCTTTCCAGTTTCTTGCTCAGAGTCTTAGTATAATGTACCATCTTTCCTAATTTGCACAACATGAGATTCCTCCTTTCTTGCTGGCCACAAATCATTGAGGAAATGTTGATAATACACAGAAATAAAAGAAAGCCTGCTCTTTTGATGAATTAAAAACCTGGGGCCAGGTGCGGTGGCTCACGCCTGTAATCCCAGCAATTTGGAAGGCCGAGGCCGGTGGATCACAAGGTCAGGAGATCGAGACCATCCTGGCTAAGATGGTGAAATCCCGTCTCTACTAAAAATACAAAAAAAAAAAAAAAAAAAAATTACCCGGGCATGGTGGCAGGCGCCTATAGTCCCAGCTACTCAGGAGGCTGAAGCAGGAGAATGGTGTGAACCCGGGAAGGGGAGCTTGCAGTGAGCTGAAATCGCGCCACTGCACTCCAGCCTAGGTGACAGAGTGAGACTCCATCTCAAAAAAAAAAAAAAAAAAAAACAAAAAAACTGGATGCATTGTTCTCAAGCCTTGCTTGGAGAGTACTTTCTACTTTCTTTGTTTTGCTCTTGCAATGCAGCAGGTACAACTGACAAAGTGTCTTTTTTCCTCCTTTTATTAATTTGGGGTCTGTGACTTTTTATTCCAAATACTGCTCAGGTTAAGAAAAGGGAAAACAATATTTCAGACAGAGACTAGAGTGCTTCTAAACCATGTTTTCCTCAGAAGGGGAAATAATATTATTTAAAATATTTTAGATAACAAAACCATGAAAATAATTTAATTCTCCAGGTTGGAAATTGTAATGGATTTGATAAGCTAGTTATAATAAAAGGAAGTAGTTTGGTGTTGGTTAAGCATTCAGATTCTGGAGTCTGATTACTTAGGTTTGATTTTTTACCTCTATCTCTTAAATAGCTGTTGATTTTGGTCAAATTGTCTAACCTTCTGTATCTCATTTTTCTCAGCTACAAAATGGAAATCAGAAGATAATGAGAGTTTTTCTCACATGGTTTGTTCTCAGCTGTAGTGAATGCACATTGTGAGGGCTGGCTCATGCTAGCTCTTATTACCATGGCATTATCAATTTTTTTTCCAAATTTTCTCTTTTTAATGAAATATAGCCCAGATTTCCTCAACTCTTATTCCTAAAAAGTTAATGTTATTTTCCAGTTATTTTTTAGTATAATAATTTCAGAGAAATATGTCCAACTACATGGGCAAAAGTGCTCATCAAAAAAATCCCACATGAATTATTTAACCAATAAAGTGGGATTTTATATTTGCGTCAATAAAAATAATATTCATTTAGATAACAATATTTTATATTTTTAACATTTAATTTAATCTTCAAACATTTGTTATCTGGGAAAAGAAAAAATGGACCACTTTCCTATAATCAAAATGTAAGAATATAAATAAGGTATAATCTCTTAGGAGGAACACTTTTTCTAAATACAACAAAAAGTAATTGAAGTGAAATACATAAAATCCCCTAATTGCCTACCAGCCTGATTTGTATAGGTATACTTTCCAGAATCGTTGACTACCTCAGTGAGAATAGTTTGACACACTTCATTTATTGATTAAGACTACATTCACTTAATTGACTCACTGATGTATTAAGAGGCCTATTTTTCCTACATTACCAGGTCAATTTTCTTTTTTCCTTTTCAGTGAAAATTTATCTGAATTATCACAAAGCAGAAACAAAACTAGTGTTGGCAGCTCTTTGTAATGGAGACCCAGATTCAGGACTACTGACTGTCATTGCCCAGATATGTGACTTTCGGCATGTCAGCAGCTATGCGATTTGGTCAAATTAATTCCTTTGCTTGTATATTGTATATAAGATGAGAGACAGGAAGTACGTTATCTCTAAGGTATCTTTCAGTTCCTACCTATCATAGCTTACACGTGCCCTAAAATTCCAACTTTATTTTACTTTTTGACACTCAAGAAAATGTTGAATTATTTTAAGGGATATTTATCAAATTCACAAATCTTTCTTAAAATATTATTGAAACTAAATGCAATGTGTAACAAGTATTTTGTGTCAGGTTTATATCATCATATCAAATAGACTATCTTAATGTATTGCAACTGCAAATGTCTTGAAAATTTCTTAATTATAATCTTGCAAAAAATCATATAACCGTGACACATACTTCTTCACTTATATTTGATAGATTAAAAAAAGTAAAAGAATATTACGTGAATGTTTCTAAACCTAACCACACTAATTAAGTCACATTAATAGATTCCTAATGTGCTAGAAGGATAATATTTTAACTTCATAAATGTGCATGTTGGTTTCCTTTATGAGGTTTCTTTCCATCTTGCTCTCTCTCTCCTTTTTTTTTTTTTTTTTTTTTTTTTAACATTCCACAGGTTTTCAATACACTGTTGAATTGAGAACAGTCCCTGGTGCTATACTTCTCAGGCTTGTGCACCACTTAGCTTATTCTCAAAAAACACAAATCTGCCCTGGCCTGTTCCTTTTACTCAGAAGATACTGGAGCCACCCCCACTTATGTTAGGGGGTGGGGTGTGAGGACTGTGCTCAGACCACATCCCCTCATTGCTTTACACAAATCTGCTCCAGACATTGCCCTGCTTCCATCACTGCTGCTTTCTTGAGCTGCCAACTGATATACTCTGCTGTTTTACATAAACAAAGTTTCCTTTTCTCCTGGCTCGTAGAAATAGCTTCTTTTTTTTTTCTATGCGTGAATATTTTAGGGAGATCCCACAGCACAGTTGCTTAACCGCCCAGATCCTAAAACACTTGTAGTTTTATGATCAGTCTTTCCTTCCTCAAGATGCACAGCTGTGAGGACTGAGTGTTCCACTCTAACTCCTGTGCTCAGTCTGGTGAATTGTACTGGATTCTTTTCAGTTCTGACTCTGACCCCCCATAATGTGTGTACCAGGTTCTTCTGTTCATAGCTGAATCCCAAGAGAGAACACAGTCCTAATGCCTTGGCAAATCAGCAGATGCAGCTAGATATGAGGTTGAAGTTGGTGCTCAGGGAGTGGTATACAGTAGGGTATTGCCTAAGGTGACCCGGATTACCAATATGAACTCATACTGTGATCCAGCTGAGACACAGGGTTGCATAAGGAAACCCTACTATAGTTCATCTCAAAATTAAATCATTTCATTAAGTATTCTATATCTATTATGGAGATTTGTAACCCATTACAAACTAGGATAAAAGAGTTTGTAATAACAACCTGAATTTATATTCGAATACTAAGTAAAATTTTGACCAGTGAATGCATTAATAAATTTTCAAACAAAACCAAAATGCTTTTTAAAATAACAAGGTAATACTTTTTTTAAAAAGTAGCTGTAAAACAAATACAGATTTTCCTAAATGGAAAATACAAAAAAATGTGGGAAACAGTTTAGAGGAACATCAAAAATCACCTCTTCAAAATTATCCCTTTCTCTATGTGGATTATTGCAATTGTTATTGTTATTAGTGTTGTTTTAACTTAGCTGCTACACACTGTCCATATACATTCACAAACTTTGCTTTCACTTAAGATTATTATGTATCTGTAAATCCATGCCATTACCTAAAATATATAACCATTAACTCTAAGGCCTGATTCATTAAAAATCTATGGCCGTAGCAAAGATTATGAAGCCTTTCCCTATCATTGACTATTAAAGATTCTTTCAGTCTCTTACAATTTCAAATTGAGTGTTTTGTTGTTGTCATTTGTTTGTTTGTCTTTCAGAGACAACGTTTTTCTCTCCTCTCTCCCCCAGACTGCACTATGGTGGCCAGAGCATATAGCTCACTGCAGCCTCAAACTCCTGGGCTCAAGTGATCCTCCTGCCTCAGCCTCTCAAGTAACTAGTACTACAAGTATATGCCACTATGCCTGGCTCAAAATTAAGTTTTAATAAACATATACATGCTAGGCATCTATATTTATTTCTGATTTTTTTGAAGGATAATTAAGAAATATATTTACAAAGTATTTGGTTAAAGTGTGTAAATATATTGAGATACTTAATACCATCATCAACTGCTTTTAAATAGAAAACCAATTTACACAGTTAGTTGTGATGTATGAAAATACTTAAACCTTTTTAAAAGTTTATTTTCAAATCTAAATTATATAATTTAATAGTTGAACTTTTAATATGTAATGAATAAGTGTGAATAAAAATAAAGAAGTTATTTAACTTCCAGTTTATTAGAGTCATTAATTATATGCAGATAATCTAGTTTTTAATATTAGTCATAAAGTAATATAGGCAAAATTATCCTGTAGGCTCTTTAGAGTACATATGAAGAATATTTACCAAGGTTTCCTTATCTGACAATCAAACAGTTATTTATCTTTCGAGGCAAAATATGTCTAAAGTTTACTGAGATAAATCGTAGAACATTTTAAAAAATATTATTTCCCTCCCTTTATTACCTCAAAAAAATCATCTTCCAACTGGTACCCTCTTTCCTGAAATAGATTCCTAACTAGTAAAATGAATATGCTATAATCATTTATTAAAATGAAATACTTGTTTTGTAAACTGAAATTCATTATTAGGCAGACTTATACAGTAATACCTAGAGTCAAAAAAATGGTCTGCCATAGGCTTAGGGCTGTCCTTGTGATATACATAGCACCAAGCATTGGAGCTGAAAAGCTACTTTCTGTGGACAGCCTGATCCCCAGGAGAAGAGGAGGAAAAGACTTGATCAAGAATACACACGTTCTGCTCCAACATTTGCCAACAGATAGCTCCCTCCACTTTCATTGGAAAAAAGGAGCAGGACAAGGCCCAGAATATAAGGGATAAGGCCTACTTGTATAGACTAGGGTGATAGTGAAGAAACTGTTTTCATAATTATAGCTGATATCTACTGAACACTTTCTAGGGTAGTTCCCGGTGATTTATATGTTTTATCTTATTTAAATCTCCCAACAATTTGATTATGTAGGTATCATTGTTTTCTCAACTATACAGATAAAGAAATAGACACTAAGTAGTTTAAAACAAGTAATTTGCTTAAGGGAGCAAACTTAGAAACTGGTATAGCTGAAATTTCAATGCAGGTGGTTAGACTCCAGAGGAGTTTTTAATCAGTGACAAAACTCACTACTATAACATATATTCAAAATTTTAAATGTTATTTTGTGCTTTTAAAAGTACTCACTAAAGTGAGTGCATCCAACTGTAGAACTGCATTAGTGTTAAATTTAGCCATAGAGTAATTGGCTACTTAGTGGCATAGTATAGGGCCAGAGTTGATCGATATGCCCCCCAAACTAGGGGGCCTAGGTCTAGTTTGGACCTGAATATTTAGTGTAAGGCAGAGTATGATAAATCAATGAGGCTGGGCTCTGTCATTTGTCTGTATCATTAAGAATACCTAGTTTAGGACCTGGAAGATGACACACACTCAATTCATCTTCCTTAGTATGTATAAATCGATGGATTAATGGATGGACTAATACATAATTGGATGAATGCAGCCAGGCTATACTTGAGTCGGGGTTGTAAGATTGCATTAGATTATTTTCTTTTATTATCTTAGCAGTGACCGTGAAATAAGAGTACTGGTGTTTAGCTAATAAAAAACACAAGTACACAATACCCAGAGGCTAAAGGTGCATCACTGCCGTGCTTTCTCAACTTTAGTCCCTGGGGAAATTGCTTTTTGCTGGCTGTCCTCAGAAGGTCACTCTCAGTTTCTAGAAGCATTTTGAGTTTCTTGCCAAGTCAGTTACTGGACATTTTAAAGCCAACAGGGGAAAGAGAGACACTCTAGCAGACCAATGCTTCCATCTTCTTCAATGTAATCAGGTACATCTCAACACTTTTACCATATTCTATTGACAGAAACAAATCACAGGTTATGCCCACATGCAAGGAGGGATGCTGAAAAGGTTATCATTCTTGCTAAAGAAGAAAAAAAACAAATAAATTGATGAACAAGTTGTATCATTCTTGACAATATTGCTTTAACAAAATTCCTCCTAATTAAATAAATCAAACACATGAATCCCTGAACGAAAAGTGCCACTTCCCATTGGAGATTCACTTGATTTTAAAGCTTTCCCTTGAGGGATTTTCTGGAATGTTTGTTTGAGATATAAGAATGCTTCTGCAATTGTTTCCATTAAGATTGAGTTACATTGCGAATAACAGAAATTGGTGGCTGATCGGTGGCTGAATTATTTTCTGATTGCTGCTGTAATAAACTGCCAGTATGGTAGTGGCTTAAGAAAATACACATTTCATTCCGTTACAATTCTGGACTTCCGAAATCTGAAATAGGTCAGGAAGTCTGTGTTCTTCTGAAGGCTCTAGGTGAGAATTTGTTTCCTTCTTTTTTTTTTTTTCCAATTCCTACAGGATGTGTGCATTCCTTGGCTTATGGCCCCTGCCTCCATCTTCAAAGCCTGTAATGTTGCATCTTGAAATCTCTCTTTGACTTTCATCCTTTTTCCTGCCTCCTACTATGATTCTATTTTGCTGGCCTTAAGACTTTTATTTAATCACATCTGCATAGTCCATTTTACCATGTAAGGTAACATGTTCACAGGTTCTGAGGATAAGGATGTGAGCATCTTTGGGGTGTGGGTGAGGAAAATTATTTAACATATTGAGAAATAGGAATATAAAGAATCAATAACATTCACACTGATCTCTCTCTCTCTCTGCCTTTCCCTCATACTGCATGGTATTTGTTGCATTTTAATGTCACATCCAATTTTATGTTAGTAGAAGGAGAAAGGAAGCAGAAAATAAAAGCAGGAATTAACTTCAGAGTGTAGTTTGTTAGCCAGAACTATCTCTAGATACAAGAGGGACAGGGCGAGAATTTAGTTTGCACAGCCAGAATTTTAGAGATAGAAAAAGGAGAATGGGATTGAACTTTAAATTTCTGTGAGCCACTTGACAGTTTATTCTACAATTTCAATACTTAATTATAAGAAAATTTTATATTTTATTAATGTCTAAATTATTAAATAATAAATTCTTTAAAAATTAATTTGAAAATGATAAATTATTTAAAATATTTATATATTAAATGTACCCTATTTTCCTACTTGAAAAATAAATATTTTGGCAAATGAAATGATTTCATCAGCCATCTTTGTGAGAATTACTTGAATAATGTGATTTCTTTTCTTCTCAGAAGAGCAGAGAATATATGACTGCAATTTCCGTATTTACATCCTTCTATACAGAGTTCCATTAGTCCTAAGTAATCCCCTATTATTTGTTTTCCTCTTGGGACAATGAGTAGAAATTTAAGAATGAACCTTAAGAAATTAAGTTCGGTAGCTTTCAGCTGTCAGTGAATTAAAGTTGTAGCCTTTCTGGTGTCAACCTTCATGGTATGGTAACTAGAGGGCTGTCAATCAACTTTGTCTGCATATATTTTCAGACAGAGTGGAGCAGAGCAAATGCACATTGGAAATGAATTTTGAACAGTTCAGCAGAAGAGAGGTTTTCTCTCACAGGAACAAGCCATTCAGCAGGAGTTAAGGTCAGGACTGAAGTACTTCTGTCAAAATGCTCCCGAATTTACACTTTGAAGCCCTAGAGTCATCTTTGGAATCCCCTGCCTGTCCTTGTCTGAACAGGAATCCCAGGGGTTTTGACCCTCAGGGCACTAAACAAACATTTCTTTCAAGCTGGCTTAGTTTAAGACACAGAACATTGTGTAACATTGTGCATCTACTTCAGTGCAGGCAATATTCAGTGCAATGTCTGCACAGAATATTTGTTACTTGAATATTTCAAGGAATATTATATTTTCTTCTGTGCATATTGTGAAACATTACAGAAGAGGATAGCATTTTAATTTTTTAAAAAAAGTTCAGTTTTTCTGGTTCAAAAGCAATTCTTCCACTAAAGTCATATGACTCATCCTAAAACCTGAAAACAATCTAGGTCAAATTTGCACACTGGCAGAGCTCTACTTATTTTTATGTTAATTGGGGTTGTATCAAAGCCTTATTTTGGTTTATTTTTAAGAAAGACAATATCAATTTCTACCTTTATAATAAGAGAAAAGGGAAATATATTAAATGATTCATTTTTTTTCAACTTTTATTTTAGAATCAGGGGTACATGTGCACATTTGTTACAATGGTATATTGTGTGATGCTGAGGCTTGGAGTATGACTGAACCTGTCACCCAGGTAGTGAGCATAGAACCCAACAGACAGTTTTTCAGTCTTTGCCCACTTCCTTCTCTTCACCCTCTAATTATCCTTTTTTTTTGTTCCCATCTTTATGTTCATGTGTATTCGATGTTTACCTTCTATTTAGAAGTGAGAACATACAGTATTCGGTTCTCTATTTCTGTGTTAGTTTGCTTAGGATATTGGCCTCCAGCTGCATCCATGTTTCTGTAAAGGACATGATTTTGAGACAGCCAGGTGGAAGGGGGTCCCTGGAGAATCTCAAACCAGCCTGCTCACTGCGGTGGAGCCTTGGAAGTTCATGACTTTTGCAGCAGGGAGGAGCCTGGCCCCTCCTCTTCCTGTGTGGAACCTGAGATTCAAATTGTCGGGCAGGAAGTGCCCTAGTGGAGGGAATCTGGCCTAGCCAGAGTCACTGTTTTCCCCGTTTTTCCCTTTCGTCGTATAAAACCCTGCTTTTACCCTTTAAGCTGTCTGCTAGCCTAAATTTTCATGGCTGTGGGACTGACAAGAACCCTCTATTTAGCTGAACTAAGGAAAAGTCCCACAACATTTTCATTCATTTTATGGCTGCATAGTATTCCATGGTGTATATGTACCACATTTTGTTTATCCAATCGACCATTGATGGGCATCCATATTTTGCTATCGTGAATAGTGCTGTCATGAACATATGGATGCATGTGTCCTTCTGGTAGAACAATTTATTTTTTGGGGGGTAGCCCTCAGTAATTGGATTGTTGGATTGTATGACTGTTCAATTCTTAGTCTTGGAGAAATCTCCAAACTGCTCTCCACAGTGATTAGATTAATTTACATTCCCACCAAGAATGTATAAGGGTCCCCTTCTCTCTGTAGCCTCACCAACATCTGTTATTTTTCTGATGCTTTGGCAAAAGTCATTCTGACTAGGATGAGATGGTATCTCATTGTGGTTTTGATTTGCATTTCTCTGATGATTGGGGTGATGAGCATTTTTTTATATGTTTGTGGGCTGCGTATATATTTTCTTTTGGGAAACGTCTGTTTATGTCTTTTGCCCACCTTTTAATGGGGTAATTTGCTTTTTGCTCATTTAGTTAATTTCCTTAAAGAATCTGGGTATTAGACCTTTCTCAGATGCATAGTGTCTGAATATTTTCTCCCATTCTGAAAGTTATCTGGTTAATCCCTTAATAGTTCCTTTTGCTGTGCAGAAGTCATTTAGTTTAATTAGGTCCCACTACCAATTTTTGTTTTTGTTGCAATTGCTCTTGAGGACTTAGCCATAAATTCCTTATCTAGGCTGATGCTGAGAAGGATATTTCTTAGGTTTTCTTCTAGGGTTTTTATAGTATGAAGAACTCTTACATTTCAACCTTAATTCATCTTGAGTTAATTTTTGTATGTAGTAAAAGGAAGGAGTCCAGTTCCATTATTCTGCATGGGTAGCCAGTTATCCTAGCACCACTTTCTAAAAAAAAAGAGTCCTTTCCCCAATATTTATTTTTGCTGAGTTTGTCAAAGATAAGATGGTTGTAGGTCTTCAGCTTTATTTCTGAGTTCTCTATTCTCTTCCATGCATCTATTTGTCTGTTTTTATATTGAATGGTTCTCATTGTGAAATAAACTTTATAATCTTTTGAAACTAGGACTTTATTTAGATGGCTCTCTAGAGTAGAAAAAGGATCTATTATAATCATCATCACGCACTGAAAATATTAATATCATTTCTCTAATAATAGATCAAAATTTCAGTTTTTAGAACTCAATTATAATTTATCTGTCAAAATCAGACATCTTTTAGAAGTTGTTTTTCATACATTAGTGAGGTCCAGAGCTTTCATCATAAAGTTTGTTTTCCAACATTAGTTTTAAAGAACAAAATGTCTTTTGCCTTTTCCATTTCACATTTTCCTATCATACTGGAGCATGCAACAGCCCTTATTTGAGCCATAATAGATTTGTGAGAACTCTGCTAAGGAGAAAAATATTCGAAGTACAAAAATTATGTGTTGATCTATGCTTTGTTTCACTCTGTTTTCTAGGTATTGCTTTTAATTTTTATAGTAATATTCATATATAATTATTTGAAGGACAGGCTCACGTTTGAAACACAATTGTATATATCCAGTTTCTAAAGTAGACCTCAGATAAAAAAGACACTTAATACATTTCCTTTTAATAGTAAGACAAGAAAGATACATAGAATAATAATTAAAGCTCCATGTTCTCTTTTTCCCTACTCATTCTCTTATCCCTCGTACTATGTACCTATTAATAGGGCTAATCTAATATGAACTATCAAGTCTCTCTGATCATTCCCGGAAATTTCATGATTCAGATTTCCACAAATTCCCTCATATCTGTTGTAAACCTGTGCATTACAAAACCATATTTTTGATTTGCCCATCTTTTACTTCTAGTTGAAAAAAAAATAGAAAAACTGCAAAACTTGATAAAGGACGTTACAGTCCTCTGTCTTGAGTCACTGAAATGGCTTCCATTAAGTTGGCATGCTTCTGCCAGCTAAACTTCTTATGTCATCATGGCTTTAGTCTATTTCTTAGACAAAATTTTATATATTTTTCATTGCCTTGTAGGGGAATAATGTACAAGAAGTATATGTATCATGGATTTAACTTGCACATGTCTGATAAAGAATTACATGAGGTTGCTTTTTAAAAGTTATGCATTTTATCTTCTGGTTTCTCTTCAGTTCGTATAATCTTTCACCCTTTAAAAGCTGTGCTTTTAAACATTTTAAAGTAACCATTTTAAAGTAGTCAAAACCATTTAACACAATGAAAAAGATACTTCTGGAGTTCTATTATTTATTTTAATCTAAAAAATGACTCAAATCTATTTCTATCAGTTATCCAAAATGTTATTCATTTCTCCTTCATGTCAAAATGAAATAAAGTAAAATTTGGCAACATTTCTTCAGGGAGAAAAAGAGTCATTGGACAAATGACCACTTAAATACTTGGTTTCTGGGAACATTAAGGTCATGTCTGCACTAGAAATGTGAAGACATAAATGAGACAAATTTTCAAGATGAAGTAAAGCTGAAAGCTCTCTTGCCAGGGCAGACCAACTGCCTAGCTAAATTATAAAACCATAATGTACATGACTTTATCCACCAATAAAATGGGAATTATACTACAAGCCAATTCTGTCAGAGGATGTTATAGAGATAATGAGATAATGTCTTCTAAGCACTTTCAGTGTCTCGGATGAAAGAAGATAACTTTTCTATCCTCAGTAGAGAGGAGACCCATGATCACTAACATTTCACATTGCTAAATGTACCTTCTTTAGAAAAGTGATGCTATTAAAATAATGATACCTAAAGCTCTTTCACTAAACCTACTATAAAGCTATACTCATCAATAATGAAGGCATGGATCTGTAGCTGAAGTGGTAGGCTTCTCTAAAATTATCAAATATTTTCTTTAAGATTAACAACCACATTCAAGGATATTTACTGTAAGGCTAGCTGTAAATACAAACACACATTCCAAAGTATAATGCTGTTTCTATTAGCAAGGGGTTCTTATAATTAGTATACATACATGAATAATAACAAATCATCCTCTTCAATGTTAACTAAAACTAAATTTAGTATGTAATAACCTAGATGCTCTTCAAAACTGTTGTTTCCTTCCACTGTCCAATAGGACTCATTAAATACACTCAACTAATCTGTCCTCTGAGACACCACATTCAGGTGAAATAATCAATTTTATTTAGTCCAACCAAAGTGAAAGGCATATCCAAAACTTACATGTTATTAAACTGGGTCATGACCCACTTGAACTACCATGCTTTAAGTTTAATAAACAATTAGCCATGTTGTCAATGAGTGGTATCAGTGGGCAGGTTTTTTTCTTTTTCCTTTGCTCAAAGTTATGGGTAAAGTTGGTATAATTTCTTGAAGTAAATGGATCTATTATGGAGAAATTAAATGACTAAAATTATTAATAAATATCCACAGAAATTATTTAAAAACTTTAAATCTTCATAAGGATAAATTATAGTAAAATCATAATATAATAAACTCTCACAACAGAACCTGTGAGTGATAAAACAGACAACTGTTTGGTAGATCACAAAGTGTTCCTGAGAGATTCATTAATAAATAATAGTAGTAGATTTTGCCTTGCTATAAAATACTCATGGCCATATGTATATTTAACATTTTTTATTTGATATGGGCATGTCCTTACGTCTCAATTCTAGCCAATGAGGAGTTTAAATCTCCTAGTGGTGAAATGGTTAATTAGGTCATAAGTAAGACTTAAGAAAAAAATGATCTGACTCCAGACATTAGTGTGTGAGATTAGAATGCCTGGGGATTCTTAAACCATTTTTCAGCAAAATGAGAGAGAGCCAATGTGCTGAGAATGAATCACCAGAAAAAAAGTGAAAAGAATATGGACCCTTGATCATGATATAGAGAACCTAAATTGACAAAAGCAGAAACAATTTTATTCCCAGGCTTTGTAATAAGTCCTCTTAATATTTAACTCATTTTAGTTTGAGTGTTTTAGTATTTGCAGCCAAAACCAGCTTCATTTATATACATACCTTGGTGAGAAACATATCTGTATGGACCTCAGATTTTACCCTGTAGATTCTGACTTTACAGATGGCATTAGCAGCAATGGCTTTGGGATCATCAAGACTGTGTGAATTGGTTAGAACCCCTGTCTCTGGGAATTACATGGCTTTCTGACCAGCGAGTCCCAGTGGCAAGAAGAACATTATTGTTGAATGGCAGTGACATGTAGGGGATCAACGAATTTTATTTGAATGTTCATTATCCCTATTCTTTTCTGTTTCTTCATTCTGAGAGATTGGGAACTGATTCTCTGCTTTAAAGAACCTCATTGACATTTCTTGTTCAGGCAGGCTTAAAAGTGGTAGCATCTGCAGGTAGTAGGCAGCATATGTATGGAGAAAACTAACATTAACTGAAATGTTCAGGAATCCAACACCCTTTAGGGTCACTTTGGAATTTTTTTCTCCACTGGCAAGTGATTATGATAGCTGTAGTTGATTTCAGATATGTGTAAATGTCCTAGAATTTCTTAGAATTATCATAAAAAGTAAAGTCTGGAAACATGCAATGTGTTCTACTAATTGATCAAGTGGGAGCTCAAAATCAATAAAAATTCTAGCATTTAGTGGTGACATGCCTTCCGTTGTAACTCCAAGCTAGGTAGGCCTGGAGAAGTTTTTGAAAATAAAGCTTGCCTAAATTCAAGCTAGTTAATGACAGAGTTAGGATTCAAACTCAAGCACCTGCCTTTTAGTTATTAAAAGTAATAAGATAAAGTTTGTACTCTCAATCGTTGGGCTACACAGCACTTAACATTAAGTACAATACATTAGAAACTAAAAGCTGTGTAAGATAAGTAGTGTCTCAAAAGAACAGTGACCAATGTGGCATTTGTTCTGCTTAGTATGAGACTGGTGTTGAAGCGAGTGGTTCATAGGAGGTTTACTAGATTAAAATGAATGTTTAAAGAATGGCTAAGTACTGTATGAGTGTTCTTCCAGGGACTATTTCAGTAGTTAGAATAGAATACACAAAGAAAATAAACTTACTTCAGAAAACTGTTCTTTAATCTCTCTTATTCCAAATGACGGCAGTAGTCAAATGAGAGAATAAACCATATAAAAAAGGAACAAATTCTCCTGAGGATTAAGTAACCACCTTTCAAGTGTTCACATTGCACTCTATAACTCCCCTAATTCTTTACTTAACTTCACAATACTGCTGTTGCCTGTTTACATGTGTATTTTACATTAGTCTTTAATTTCTATGAAGGTAGATATTGTGTTTCTCTTATCTACAGTTGTATTCTTTAAGACATAGTAGCCTAGCATGTAATGAGGTCATTTAATATAAGTATATACACTTATACTAAAACTATTTATTTTTCTGGACGTTTTAACCTCATCTTACCAAAGCCTTCCTTCAACTTCGATTCATAGACAACAAACATAGAAGATAAGGGTTGAAATAGGAAACTATGTCTATTGTCATAGAAATATTAAAAGAATGATTCTGATAGAAAGAGAAGAATGGAATAATGGAAATATTCTGAATCTGAATTACTTAACTTTTACTATTCTTTTTCTTTTACTCAAGGTTGTATTCCAAAGAAGTGAATACTGAATATATTTATATATTGATAGTTAAGATGAGGATAAGTATTTATTGCTGTTTTGTAAAATAATAGATGTTAAATAATGAGGAACTATCCTTGGAAAATTAAAGTAACTTTTTGGTAATACTAACTAGACAATAAGAGATATATTACAATACAGTGTCTGTTTGCATCTTTTTATTCAATGGTTGATCCTACTTGGCTTACCCATCTAAAGACACAGACTGTTAGTAGTAGCAAAGTTGACATTTTTACATACATTTGAATAACTCCAGTGTCTATCTCTCTTTGAGTTCCAAACTTAGATTGAGAAAAGTGGCATTACAGATTGAACATGACAAATTCAAAAATCTGAAATCCAAAAAATTCCAAAATCTATAACTTTTTGAGCAGAAATATGATGGTCAAAGGAAAAGCTCATTAGAGCATATTCGATTTCAGAATTTTGGGTTTGGCATGTTGAACCAGTAAGTTTAATGCAAATATTCCCAATTTTTTAAATTGAAATCCAAAACACGTCTGGTCTCAAGAATTTTGGATAAGGGATACTCAACTTATATTTTAAAGACGTAACGATATTATTTAAGGATTCCTCCAAACTTCAGCATGGAGTGCTGTGGTTTAAATTTTTGTATCCCCTTGAAAATCCATGTTGAAACCGAATCCCAAATACACTAATATTAACAGGTAGAGCCTTCTGGCAGTGATTAGGCCATGAAAGTTGCATCCTTATGGATGGGATTAGAGCCTTAAAAAGGAGGGGACTGGCTAGGCTCTTCTGCCCTTCCACCTTCCACCATGTGAGGACACAGTGTTTGTCGTCCCCTATGGAGGACATAGCAACAAGACACCTTTTGGACTTGGACTTTTGGGTTAATGCTGAAATGAGTTAAGATTTTAGGGTACTGTTGGGAAGGCATAATTGTGTTTTAAAACGTGAGAAAGATGAGATTTGGGAGGGACCAAGTGTGGAATGATGTGGTCTAGTTCTGAGGCCCCATCCAAATATCTTGAATTGTAATCTGATTTCTAATTCTCACATGTTGTAGGTGGGACTTCATGGGAGGTGATTTGATCATGGGGGTGGTTCTCCCATGTTGTTCTCCTGATAATGAGTGAGTTCTCATGAGATCTGATGGATTTATAAGAGATTCTGTACTCCTTCGCTCTGCATTTCTCTTGCCTGCCACCATGTAAGCCATGCCTTTGCTTCTCCTTCACCTTCTACTATGATTGCGAGTTTCCTAAGGTCTCCCCAGCCATTTGGAACTGTGAGTCAATTAAACCTCTTTTCCTTATAAATTAGACAGTCTCGGGTATTTCTTTAGAGCAGTGTGAAAATGGACTAATACAACAGCATTTTGGCAGCGGAGACTGGGCCCTCACCAGACACCAAACCATCTGGCCCTGCAATCTTAGACTTCTCAGCTTCCATAACTGTGAACAATAAATTTATTCTGTTTGTAAATTACCCAGCCACAGTCTCAGTTATTTTGCTATAGCATTATGAATAGATTAATACATTGAGCATAGAGAATATATATTTCATCTGGGGAATCTCTGAGGCTGAAAATGTTATCATGAAAGAGATTGTACCTCAGCTGGAGCTGAAGCCTGATTCGGTCCCTTTACTCACCGTTTACAGAGAACACCAAGAATAAAATCATGAACTGTGGCATGGAGAAAAATAATCATGCAAACATTTTCAGAAGTTATCAAGTAGTAAATTGTCTACTGCAGAAGACTGGAGGAAATTGGTAAAAGGTAAATGTTTAAAAAGTTATGTTTGTTTATAAAAGTTAATAAATGCCATATTGAGAATTTTCAATTTACTCTAAGACCAGGCAAGCCATTTAGTGTTTCTGACCAGATCTCTTTTCCTAAAGGGATATATAGGAAGCCACAATTAATAACTGTTGAATAAGTTTGGGAGGGCAGCCAAGATGAACTGTAATGTTGAATAAAAATGGCTGACTGACTCCGACTAACCTCTTGAATGTATACATACTTATGTATGTCGGGATGAACTGTGCTAAGTTCCATTGACTTATGAGGAGTATATTGAAATGAATGAATGATTGATGTTGAAACAACGGAGTTTAGGGTTTATTAAAGTGATGAAGCAGAGTCATTCATTATACAAATGTCAGACAATTTATGCACGTATCTAACTTCATATAGTTGTTTTATTTTTCTTCTTGCTATATTTTTCTTTATAAAAGTCCATAATTTACCCTCATGAAGCCAATTTAGAATTGAGATTTTGGCTTTTATTTTATTTATTTATTTATTTTTATTTTGTTTTTTGAGACAGATTCTCACTCTTTCTCCCAGGGTGCAGTGTAGTGATGCAATCACAGCTCACTGCAGTCTTGAACTTCTGGCCTCAAGGGATCTCTCACCTCAGCCTCCCAAGTAGCTGGGACCACAAATGCATGTCACAACATCTTGCTAATTTTTGAATTATTTGTAGAGATGGGGTCTCCCTACATTGCCCAGGCTGGTCTCAAACTCCTAAGCTCAATCAATCCTCTCATTTTGGCCTCTCAAAGTGCTAGGATTACAGGTGTGAGCCATCACACCAGGCCGCTTTTACTTTCACTGTATCAAAGGCTCCAGACCTTAGCTCAGGTCCCATATTTTATTCTCAGTATTCAGGAATCTGGGAACTTTACTAATCGTGCTACAGAAATATAGCGAGAACTCCAATGAATGCGTACTTGACATTCTATCACCCTTTCCATGGGACTTATCAATTCCTATCTGAATCCTGTTAACTCTTTCATAGCATTCATTTCTTGTATCACACTGCACTTCTCAAAGCATCTTTCACATATCTTAAAGTTTTCAGTTGGGTTTTTTGAGGAAGTAACACTGTCTCAACTAATCCTGAATGTTAATTACATGGGGAAAACCATTCTACTACCCGTAAAAATCATTAATAGTCAATGTATTGCATATGTTAATATTAAATCCTTACTTTGCTTGAAATTGCTTCTGCCTCTTTAAAAAGTAGCAGTTTTCTGCTCAATTTTGCTGTGAACCTAAAACTTCTCAAAAAAATAAAGTCTATTGAATAGGCAGCCAATTCTGTTTAAATAAAATAACCTTAAAATAATTGATAGCAATGATAGCAATATCACTATGATTGATATTATTATTTAAATCTTAAATTATATCCTTAATATACTTATTTTATTCATAAAATATTATTTTTGTGTAATATATCTGTGTGTTGAATTTGCTAATATTTTTGTAAGTATTTTCACATCGAGGCTTATAAGGTGATTGTCAATAAGTTTTTTTCTTCTAATATCTGAGACATGTTTTAGAATAAGGGATATGTTATCTTCAGAAAATTATTTAGGAGTTGTTTTCTCCTCCTCTATTTTCCTGAAAGAGTATGTACGAACTTGACTCTGTTTCTTCTTAATCATTACATATAATCTGGAGCTTTGTTTGTTACAAATACTTAATAACAAAGTAAATTTTTGTGTCAATTTCAGTAGGTTGAATTTTTTAAAGATAATTTTTAATTTATCTTAAATGTGAAAGTTACTAGTATAAAGTTGTACATATTTTATTACTTTGATATATAGAGGTTCTATTTTGTTTTTTTAATTTCTGATATTAGAAATTTATCTCTTTTTTGTTTATAGATCCATTTTGTTATGTGTTTTTAAGTTTATTAATACTTTTAAAGAAGCACCTTTGAGTTTTGTAAATTTTTTGATTATTTTTCTAATGCAATTGATTTTTGCTCTTTATTATTCATTTTAATTTACTTCCTTTGTTTTACTTTTTTTTCCAGCTTTCTAAAAAACAAATCTAGATCAATATTTTAAAACATTGTTTTGGATATAAACACTTGAAACTAAAAATTTTCCTGTGAGTACTGCTTTCGTTGTATGGTTTAATTTCTCAACATTTGGCAATTTTGTAGATATAACATTGTTACCCATTTTGATTTAAGTCTAAAGTCACCATAAAATATCTTTTTTAAAAAATATTTTAGTCTTTTTGTATTTATTGAGACTATTTTTTATGGTCCAGTATATTATCTATCTAGGTAAAAATCTTATGTGCCTTTGATAAAATGTGTATTCTATAATTGCTGAGCATAACATTGTGTAAATATTATGTCAAGGTAGTTGATTTTTCTGTTTAGATATTCTACATTCTTATTAATTTCTTTGGTCTATTGTACCAAATATTGAGAGAGTTTTGCTAAAATTTCAACTATGATTGTTTATTTGCCTATTTCTCCTTCCGTTTTGTCATGATTTACGAAAATCTACTACTTGCATACACACTTATAAATATTTAATCTACTGATTAGTTGATCCTATTAACATATGCTATTTCCCACTTTATTTCCGGTAACAGTTTTTGCATCAAAGTATACATAGTCTGGTAGTAATGTAGTCACTAGAGCTTATGTATAATTAGTGTTTTCATGGAATATCCTTTTCCTTTGTTTCTGTGTCTTTGCGTTGGAAGTGTTTCTGTAATAGACAACATATGGTTGGACTTCCTTTCTTTCCTTTTCTTTCCTTCCCTCCTTCCTCCCTCCCTCCCTTCCATCTTTCCTTCCCTCCTTCTTTTTAAAATCCAGGCTGGTATTCTCTGCTTTTTAATTGGAATGTTTAGTCTGTTTAGTCTAATTAATAGAATTATTGATATAGTTGAATTTTTATCTTCCATTTACTATTTGCTTTTCTTTGTTCTATTTTTGCTCCTCCATTCCTCATTTCCCACATTTTGTTGGTTTAATTAATTTTTAGTGATTGAGTCTTGGCATTTCAACATGCATATTTAACTAATCATGATGTACTTAGAGAGAATAATGTGAGACTTTATATAGAATATATGAACCTTGTAACTGCATCATTCAGATGACCTCCTCTGTATTATGTTATTTGTATAAGCTCTGCAATTTGTGTAATGATTTTAGCTTTAAGCAGTCATATATCTTTTACAAAATTAGAAATAGCTATCTTCTGCACATATTTACTCTTTCCTGTGCTCTTTATTGATAACTAGAGATCTGAGTTTGCATCTGAAGCTACTTCACTTTAGCCCAGTGAACACACTTTGGTCATTCTTTGTAATGTAAATCTTCTGGAAAATAATTCTCTGTTTTCTTTCATCTAAGCATGCATTTATTCCCACTTCACCTAAAGACCAGAATTGCTAACTATAGATTTCATGGATTGATACTTTTATATTATTTTAACAATTTAAGGATTTTGCTCCATTTCTTTCTAGCCTCCAATTGCTTTTCTTATGAGAGATCAGCCTCACACATTGTTTCCCTATATGAAACCTGCCAGTTTTCTCTGGCTACTTTCTTGTCTTTGCATTTTATCACTGTTGGTATGAAATTTTAGGTTCGGTTTTCTTTCTTTTATTTTGTTTAGCAGTCACTTTGCTTCTTCAAACTTAGCTAGAAATTATACAACATATTTGGAAAAATTTCTACTATTATTTTTTCAAATACATTTTCTATTTACTTTTTCTCTCTTCATCTTCCAGGTTTTTAGTCATATAGATTGTGGACCACCTAATTTTTGTCCTTTGGTCACAAATCTCTGTGGATCAGATTGTATAATTTCTATTGATATCTCTTCAACTTCATTGACCTACTCTTTTGTATTCTTAAATACTGCTGTTAAGCTTATTTGGTCATGTTTTCCTTTCACTGATTGTACTTTTCCATTCTAGAATGTCCATTTGTTTTTATTTTTATTATCGATAGTTGCCTGATGAAAGTCCTTATTTTAATTGTTTATTACCATATTTTTTTCATGTTTGTGAACATATTTAAAATGGCACCTCTGATTTTTCCAACATCTGGATCATCTGGGGATCTGTATCTAATGACTTTTTTGGTATGAGTTATGTTTTCTTTGGCATTTCAATATGCATATTTAATCATGATGTACTTAGAGAGAAAAATGTGAGACTTTATATAGAATTAAACACTTGAATATACTTGATTTTTTGTCTTACAATAAGTATTTTGAAGAGTATTGTTTTAGATGCCCTGCATTTAACTGTTTTGCTTTGAGGAGGATTGATCTTTGTTCTAGGAGGCTACTAATTTGTCTGAGACTCTGACTCTTAACTCTCCTTTCTCTCTAGAGCAGTATACACTAGAAATCTCCACTTAGTTGTTTTAGATTCTAGATGCTGTTATCAATATATGCTCTGGAGTTTCCTTCCCAGAGGCATAATTCAATAATCAACTGACGATCTGAGCAAAGCTTACAAACAAATGTTAGAACTCCACATCTATGTTTCTCATTTGTCTGGATTTCTTCTCATTTCAGTTTTATTTTTCTTTTAAAAAAGTTACTGTACTAACCCTGAACTTTGTATTTGGACACACGGAGCAATTAAGACTACTTAATTTAATATGCTATACCTAAGATTTTGAGGTCTACCCTCAGGCAAAATAGTGACAAGCAATTAGACCCAGTCTACTTCCTTTATTTCAAGGGTTTGATTTTCTAAAGTGCTGTGCACTTTTATTGAGCCTGACTGCCATAAAAATACTGATTTTTAAGTATTTAGTAAAAATTATTTTATAATTGTTCCATGTGTGAGGTGTGATCAGGATATTTCATATCACCAGAGTATTTTTTATTACTTTAAATTAAAATATTTCCTAACTATAAAGGTGTAATGATAAATAATAAATATTTGTCAATGCTTGTATATTAATCGTCTGGAACATACATGTGTCAACATGACATATTCAAAGACCCCTTTTTAAAAAAATGCATAGAAGTGCAGGGATTTCATGTAAAACTTGTGTGGAAATGATGAGATAGAGAGAAAAGAGTCTTTAAGAAGACAGGAATATTTAAAAAGAAATTTTGAATAATAGAAAACTTATGAATCAATTAACTAAAAGTATTTCCTACTCCTATATGTGATCACAGGAAAACTATCTGAGTTAACACTGTTAGTCCTTTCTGATATCAAGAAGCAGAGATCAATCATAAATCCCCCAAATAATACAGGTAACAGGTCTTAAGAATGTTATCTCTGATTGTCCTCAAATCTCTTATTAGAGACCAAGCTTGTTTTTAACATTTTTCTCCTGATGAACAATCATAAGGACTCAAGCATTTCCAGGGCAATAATCAATCAAATCAGTGCTCAATCCAGTTTCATCCACTGGTTGAGAATTCATGAAACTCAAACAATTGTAAAGTGCTGTGTAAAAGTCCCCTGGTTTTCAAGCTAAAGGTTAGGAAAGAAAAGGAAAAGAAATATAGTCTTTCTTGATTCTACTGAATCAAAGCAGTAAAAATGCTTCTGCTTTGGTCTAGAGTCTAGTGTATACAAAGTGGCCCACAGAGTGGGAGATCATGAGGACTCAGACTAACTGAAGCAATTCTGAAACATCAGAGCCAAGGGTAAAGACATTGACATCTATCAAAAAACCGCTATTGAAGAAGGCTATTCAAAATTCAATATGAATAGGTATCAAGGGAAAACGGAACTTTTAACCTAAGCTTACATGCTGGACAGTCAGATGAAAATATCAGCAGTTTTTCTGGTTTCTCTGGACTAAATAGGAGAAAAAGTATGTTTAATCATCTGAGACTTATAGAAATCGGGTTTTATATGTCTTGTTAAAATAATTTGACTAAAAACAGTTTCTTAACATCACTTTTTCCTTCATCAAAGTCAAAAATGACTTTAATTTAACATTATTAAGAATACCTAAAAACAGGATATAGCAATATAGTTTCAAAAGAAACTGTTTGACTAAAAACATATATTAAGTTAATGGGCTCATCAATCATACTTTGCCACAGAACAGTCTTATAATTTTTTCAATAGTGTAAAATGTTGGTTTTGTCAGCACTTTTGATGTAATATAAATTCTATAAAAATGCTGCCCACAAATATAATCAACTGCATCCCAAGTGATGTCAGATATTTATAATTTTCCTTGATGCAGTCTGCAAATGTTTTCAATTGGGTAGCCATATTAAGTACATTTACTTTCCGGCAGAATGCAGTTTTGACTAGGCAATCATGTTTATCAAGCAGATTCATTGTATATTACTTGTACCTTAAAGAAACATTTTCTGTATTCAGCAAACTCAGCACTCTGATAGCAATGCTTGTTTGTGACACCTGGTTAAAAAGGACTGTCAGTGAAGGAAGATGGAGTGTTTTTTTTTCTCTTTTTGCAGCGCCAACTACACAACAAAAAAATTACAGGCATGTTGATATTATGTATCATTTTTAATGCTTCTTAATTCTGCTCTTAAAATTCTACTCTTTGGAGTAGAATATGTATCCCAACAAAACGCTATTAAATTTTTTAAAATAAGTGCTTCTGTTTCCAATCTGATATTAATATGCCAAAGTGATTGTTTAAATAAAAAATCAATTTGTTTTTTTCATTAGGTGAAATTATGTCATATAAAAATAAATTAGAGGGGATATACACAAATTGTTCAACTTTGTTATATTAGAAAGAAAAATCATATGTACAAGTGAAGTTAGAAGTCAAATGTGAAAAGTAATGGTAAGGGAGTTCTTTTGGTATTTATCTGGCTTTCCTGTTTTTTCTTAGAGAGAGAAATGGTCTGCCTCAATCTACTCCATCATACTCAAAAGTGAACATAGAACCAAGCAGCTCTTAAAGTGGTATGAAATAATAAACTCATTAGCCAGTGACTTCACAGGTCAGTTGGGGAGAGGAATTTCTAAAATGTAGAGTTGCTTATGCCTTCCCAGATCCATCTGGATGTCCTCCCAGATCTATCCAATATTACTTATAATAAGTTCTGACTGCGTGGTGAGCAACAGTGAGAAGTGGATCCTAGTTTCTTTAGCAAAGAGGCAAATTTACTCAAGACCATTTACTCAGAAATGGTGATTGGGCCAGCTTGCCTTCTGCCACCTAACACACAGATGGTAAGAAGAAAAGATGGACTTTTTTTTTTTTTTGCTTTTTATTTCTAAGTATACATAGACTAAATTAATAATAATTTTTACATGTATTTTATGTGTGTTTACATATGTGTATATAAATGCATATATTTATTCATCATTGCAGTTTCTTTTTATCAGAGTTCAAAAGCCTTTATGTTTTCAGTTTTTACCTTTTTTAAGTAAAGGAAATTCCACATCCTCTGCTGACACTCATTTCAAACTCTAAAACACAATCCATGAAAAGTCGGCATGAGTCATAGTAACATTTCAGTCAGTTTTAAAACGACATCACAAATCATAAAGTATAATTCTGTGTTACACTGTAAAAATTTCCTCTTCTGAAAATTGAGCGGAGAGAAAGAGGGAGGAAATAGACCAACAATGGTCTCTATCTTGAGTAATCAATGGCTTAAAATTGACCCATGTACTCAATCTATTTCATTCATGGGAACAAGTAAGCTGTTAAGTGTTCGGCCATCTTCAAGGGAGAATTAACTGAAATTTTTGAATTTCTACTCTGAGTTAGGCACTCCATCTGAAAATTTGTACTTAGCATCTACTTTAATAAACTTGATACCAGTGCAGTAATTCTGTTCAACTAATGGAAGTAACAGTGATAGTAGTAATATGTATGTTTTCTGTAAGGTGGAAATAATATATAGAAGTAATGCTACTTTCATTCTACCTACAATTACAGTTCTTAATGTTTGCCTAAAGATAGAACTTACACCTTACTAAATGATATCTCTCAGCAGAAAATGACTTCTGAAACTACATATGGAAAGTAGTAAATTAAATTGTAATAGTTAATTCTAGGCTCTGTTATTTTAATGTAAATCCTGTCTCTCCCGGCCTCCCTCCCTCCCTTCCTTCTTTCCTTCCTTCCTTTTTCTTCCTTCCTTTTCCTTCCTTCCTCCCTTTTCCTTCCTCCCTTTTATCTTCTTTCTTTTATTTTGCCATTGCCTCTACATTATTGTATTAAGAATTGAGTAGGGTGGGCATGGTGGCTTATACCTGTAATCCTAGCACTTTGGGAGGCCCAGGTGGGCAATTGCTGGAGCTCAGGAGGTGGAGGCTGCAGTGAGCCAAGATCACACCACTCCACTCCAGCCTGGGTGACAAAGTGAGACCCTGTCTCAAAAAAAAAAAAAAAAAAAAAAAAGAAAGGAAAAGAAAGTAGAATTGGTTGAATAGCTAAGAAGGGGTTCAAATTTGATGTTGTTTTGTATTATATACTGAGTTTTAGACTGTTAGAAATGATTAAAGTGTTAATAGTTTATTTGCATAAATGGCATCATAGAATGGTCTTCATGTTTGGCTTCTAAAGAAAGATTACAAAAAAGGGTTATTATTAATAAAAATAATTCAGTACTTTATCAGTTTTCTCACAGGTCTCTCATTATTAGTTGATATTTAAATAGATCACTTTCACAAGCTCTTTATCATTATCTTTGACAGTAGTCCTTTCAATTTTAAACTCATAGACACTGCCAGGTGCATAATCTTCAATGGCTTTAAATGATGAAAAATTTTGCTTAACATCTCACATTATTAGCTTCATGAAATTCTTCATCTTTGCCAAGATATATACAAGTTCACTTTGTAATCATTCTTCTTTATATTTGCATTTTACACTGAGATGTTTACAGCATTCAAGAACTACCAGGAGATTTCCAGGGATAACTGCCTGAACTTATGTGTACATGTCTCTGTTGGAAAGGGAAAAGTGAATATGTAAATAGGAAGTAATTTAATAGTTGATATTTCAGTACTAAATGCTTTTAAAATTGCAAAAATATTGTATTATTTTTGCAACCTTGCAACTGCAGGGATTCAAAACTTAACTATTGTGATCATGAGGCCTCTCTATTGAAATAATTCATAATAAAAGTCCTGAAGTAGGAAGCAGGAACTCCAGGCTAGAGGGACGGACATGAGACAGAAGCAAATTAGACAAAACAAAGACTCCAGACTAAACCATCGCCATTTTTATTTTAACCCAGGCTGATATGGTTTGTCTGCATCACCACCCACATCTCATCTTGAATTGTAATTCCCACAATTCTCATTTATCATGGAAGGAACCTAGTGGAGGTGATTGAATTATGGGGGTGTGTCTTTCTCATGCTGTTCTCATGATACTGAATGAGTCTCACAAGATCTGATGGTTTCTAAAATGGGAGTTTCCCTGCACAAGCTCTCTCTTTTTGCCTGCTCCCCTCCATGTAACTCGTGACTTGTTCCTCTTTGCCTTACACCATGATTGCGAGGCCTCCCCAGCCACATGGAAATGTAAGTCCATTAAAACCTCTTTTTCTTCCCAGTTTCAGGTATGTCTTTATCAGCAGCATGAATGTGGACTAATACAATAAATTGGTACTGGGATTGGGGCGCTGCTGAAAAGACACCCAAAAATGTAAAAGTGACTTTGGACCTGGGTAACAGGCAGAGGGAGGAACAGTTTTTGGAGGGCTCAGAAGGAGATAGGAAAATGTGGGAAAGTTTGGAGCTTCCTAGAGACTTGTTGAATGGCCTTGGCCAAAATGCTGATAATGATATTCAACAATGAAATCCAGGCTGAGGTGGTCTCAGACGGAGATGAGGAACTTGTTGGGAACTGGAGCAAGGGTGACTCTTGTTATGTTTTAGCAAAGAGACTGGCAGCATTTTGCCCCTGCCCTAGGATTGGTGGAATTTTGAACTTGACAGAGATGATTTAGGGTATCTGATGGAAGAAATTTTTAAGCAGCAAAGCATTCAAGACGTGACTTGGGTGCTTTCAAAGACATTCAGTTTTAAAAGGGAAACAGAGCATAAAAGTTTGGAAAATTTGCATCTTGACAAATGATAGAAAAGAAAAACCCATTTTCTGAGGAGAAATTCAAGCCATCTGCAGAAATTTGCATAAGTAATGAGGAGCTAGATGTTAATCTCTAAGACAATGAAGAAAATGTCTTCAGAGCATGTAAGAAACCTTCACGACAGGCCCTCCCATCTCAGGCCCAGAGGCCCAGGAATGGGCTGGGCCCAGGGTCCCCATGCTGTGTGCGGCCTAGGGACTTGGTGCCCTGTGTCCCAGCTGCTCCAAGCCATGGTTGAAAGGGGCCAACATAGAGCTCAGACTATGGCTTCAGAGGGTGCAAGTCCCAAGCCTTGGCAACTTCTATGTGGTGTTGAGCCTTCAAGTGCACAGAAGTCAAGAATTGAGATCTGGGAACCTCTGCCTAGGATTTCAGAGGATGTATGTAAAACCCTAGATGCCCAGGCAGAAGTTTGCTGCAGGGGCAGGGCTCTCATGGAGAACTTCTGCAAGGCCAGTGCAGAAGGGAAATATGGGTCAGATCCCACACACAGAGCCCCTACCAGGGCACTGCCTAGTGGAGCTGTGAGAAGAGGGCCACTGTCCTCCAGACCCCAGCATGGTAGACCCACCAACAGCTTGCACTATTCACTTGGAAAAACTGCAGACACACAATGCCATCCTGTGAAAGTACCTGGAAGGGAGGCTGTACCTTGCAAAGCCATAGGGGTGAAGCTGCCCAAGCCCATGGGAACCTACCTCTTGCATCACTGTGACCTGGATGTGAGACATGGAGTCAAAGGAGGTCACTTTAGAGCTTTAAGATTTTACTGCCCTGCTGAATTTCTGACTTGAATGGGCCCTATAGCCCGTTAGTTCTGGCCAATTTCTCCCATTTGCAATAACTGTAATTTCCCAATGCCTGTACCCCCATCGTATTTAGGAAGTAACTAACTTGCTTTTGATTTTACAGGCTCATAGGAGAAAGAAACTTGCCTTGTCTTGGACTTTGGACTTTGGACAGTGGAATTTTGAGTTAATGCTGAAATGAGTTAAGACTTTGGAGGACTGTTGGGAAGGCATGATTGGTTTTGAAATGAGGGGACATGATATATGGGAGGGGCCAGGAATGGAATTATATGGTTTGGCTGTGCCACTACCCAAATCTCATCTTGTATTGTAACTCCCACAATTCCCATGTGTCGTGGGAGGAACCTGGTGGAAGTTGATTGAACTATAGGTGTGGGTCTTTCCTGAGCTGTTCTAGTCAAAGTGAATGAGTCTCACTTGACCTGATGGTTTTAAAATTGGGCATTTCTCTGCACAAACTCTCTCTTTTTGCCTGCTGCCATTCATATAAGATGTGACCTGCTCCTCCTTGCCTTCCACCATGATTGTGAGGCCTCTCCAGCTATGTAAACTGTAACTCCACTAAAACTTCTTTTACTTCAGTGTCAGGTATGTCTTTATCACCAGCATGAAAAACGACTAATACAGAGACCAATTCTCATCACCAACTCTTCAGTAATGAAGAACAAAAATAGGTTGTTTGTTTTGAATCAACTCTAAAGCTTTGCTATTGTTTTCTTAATCTATGTATATAGTTCTCAGTTGAAAGTGCATTTGGTAATGCAAAAACCTTCTCCACACATTTTCTTATGGTTATTCCACTGCACTAACTTAAGAATCCTGTATGGTAATAATATATCAGTGTAACAGAAAGAAAAATTAAGAAAAGTAAATGGTCACAGAATACCCAAACTTTAGAGAAGAGGGATTTAATTCAGGGAAGAGAAAATTTTAGTTAGTAAAACTTATTATTGGAGCTTCTTAAAGTAGAATTTTAGACTAAAAGGCACCTATTTGTGAGTTTTTTCTTAACTATTCCAGAGAGATAATGGATACTAGGAAGTGGTAAAGAGAAAAGATGAGAGAATGTTTTAGATGAGGGTCAGAGCACTTGTCATGGACAAAATTGAGAGATGATAGAAAGAGTGAGATCTAATTTTCAATATTTCTCTTGTAGATAATCATTTCTGCACTTTCTTTAAATGATAACTCTTTCTTTAAAGGTCTACAAAAATCTACAGCCGTGTGCTAGTGGATTTGTAGAAAATAAATGAGAAAATACACTGTAATATGGGGAGGTGATAAGTCAATGGGAAAAAAATAAAGATTTGAGAAGAAAGCAGGAGCTTGGAGTAAAGTTGACTAGGGAAATCAAGTATCCCTCTATATTACCCTAAAAGAATCCTCAGAAATTTTTAAATCCCAGTAATACTTTAGGAAAGTGACTTAAATTTTCTTTGCTTTAATATTTATAAAAAGAAGATGAGAATCTTTATCTCCTTTCCCCTGGTTGTGACAAGAATTACAGTACATAGGGCATCATTTCTCAAACCGGTGAAAGTATAACACTAGTGGTACATGAGGTATGTTTACCTGGTGCTGGAAAGGCATTGTTAAAATACTATAATAGTAATATATTACTACTACTATATGTGTACATATATAAAAAATATATATAATTACATTTATATTTATGTAACTATATATTTATTTATATAAATTAGGAAACTCATAATTATACAGAACAAGAAAAAAAGGAAAAAGTGAGTTCATTTTAAAGAAAATCAAGTAGGAAACAGATTATGCAGATTATTTTCTCAGTGTGACAAAATTATGAAAATGAAATATGGAAATCGTTGATAAAATATGCATGAAATTATCTGAAAAGCAAATGGTGGGTAGAGAGCACTCACTAAAAATATGATTATAAAATGTGTAATTGTGCTAATGGCTTTCATATATGTTACTTTACGTAACCCTCTTAGTAAACTGATGAGGCAAGAACTGCTATTCACATTTTCAAAGATAAAGAATAAGTAGTCCACATATGTGGAAAATTGCTTTGCCCAACATCACACAGTAGGTTTGCCTTACCATGAACTCAAACACAGGAGTCCAGAATGCCAATCTTTTTGCATTGTACTCTGTATCATTGCCTCTTCATAGAGTCATTCTTTGCCACCAGTAGTGTGTTTATTTTAGACTCTAAGGTTCAGCAGCACAATATTTCTGGTCAAAATATTCTGTTGTAATATCATGTGTCAATACTACTTTTTAAATTTTAAAAAACATATTAAAATTTTACTAGCATATGTAACTAACTTGACAATAATAAAAGAAGAAACATTTCCAATTAATGTGAGAACTATAAGCTGTTCAATTCAGCCATTTCTAAGCTAGTACATTTGTTTCAGGGATTCTTATTAACTGGAGTTACCACTGGCTCTTTTCAGGTTAAGTGGGAATTACTTCACTAAAGATAAAAAAGAAATCATTATATTTCATAAGACATTGTTGTTAATAACATAACTTAAAAAATTAACTGATTTTATAATGATTTTAAAAATAAAGTCAGAATCACAAATAAATCAAGCAATACATTTAAATCTCATGCACAAATTTGCAATGGTTAGCCAAATTTTGGAGATTAATAAGCATTTATTAAATTTCTTCCTTGTTTGTACTCCCTTTAACATATACTGCAATAAATATAGAAACAATAAAACTTCACTTGACTTCTGCTATGTAGAAAATTTATATAGTTAAGAAAATAATTCAAGAACCATCTGAAAGTAAAATGTGTGAAAGCGCAATGTACAGTGTCTTGAAATAATTAATGAAGAAACTCCAAGTAGAGGAATGTTTGGGTCAACATTAAACAGGAAAAGATGGATGAGAAAACAAGAAGTGTTTTCATTGGTTCTTCAGCTAAAACTAGGCTTTGAATTGAATACTGTGCAGAATAAGTTGAGGAATATCTGTAAGGTTAGTTTAGATGGGACAGGGTTACAGAAAGTGGTTAAAAGCTTGTGGTCCACAGGTTCTCACTTATAAGTGGGAACTAAACAGTGGGTACTCATGGGCATAATAATGGCAATGACAGAGACTGAGAGTAGTAGGGGGCAAGGGCTATATAACTAATTATTGGGTACTATGCTCAGTGCCTGGTAAGCAGATCAGTCATACCCCAAACTTCAGCATCACACAGTATATCCAGGTAACAAACCTGCACATGTATGTACCTCCTGAACTTAAAATCAAAATTGGAATTATGTTTTTAAAAACATTATGTTCCAAGTCATGACAAATATAAAGATGATATTGGTCAGCAAAAAGTCTGCACAAATACCAAACTTCAAAAGAGGAAGGAGTGGCTATGTGGTTCTTTTTATTGTTCAAATATGGTGTACTTATAATGAGAATTTTTGTAAATTATCAGATTAGTGTATATTCACTAATTCAGGAAGGAAATATAGAACTGGAAGAAATCAAGAAATCATATTTCCCCCTTCTCCCTTCTTTCACTACGTGCTCATTGATATTATACTCAACGAAAACTCTTCCAGGTACTAAGGAGGAAGAAACAAAATTGAATTTGAGATCTTCTCTGGTGACAAATGCCCATACATTCGTGGAGAAAGTAATGCTGATGGTAGTACTAATTCAGGTAGATTAGGCTAAATACTATGCCACAAAGAGTACAAAGCGATGAAAATTAATTCTTATTACAAAATAAGGGAAAGATTCTCTGGGGAAAATTGGTTGATCCATTGATTCTACCCAAAATCTCAACAGACTAAGAGGGTCAGAGGGTGAGGAAGAAAGAAAAACATTTCAATATTAGGACCCTGGTAGTAAAGACATGGTGATGGTGAAATTTAAACATCTGCTGGAATTAGCCAGTAGTCTAGTGTTCCTAGCATAGAAGAGACAGGGAAATATGGCAAGAAGAAAAGCTGTTATGGTAAACTGAGTCTAGACTCATGTCTGTATGTGTGCCCATGCCTGTGTGCATCTGGAGGGGTGGGGATGCAATAAGGCCATACTATGTACTTTAAATTTTTTTTTTCCAGTAAGGCTGGGAGGAAAGCTTAAAAGAGACTTAGAGCAAAAGATTGATATAAAAGTAGTGAAGCTCTAATAAGAAAGTGGCAAAGGAAGGGTGGATTGAAGAGAAGAAGCTTTGAAGCTGGTACAGGAGTAAAATTGAGAGGCAATGAGATCCAAATTAAAGGGGAGGAAAAAGTTCAAAACAGACACACATAGTCCAGAAATTCATATGGGACATATAAAAATAACCTCAAATTTTAAATGTGGTGATTGAATTGAGGAACTCAGAAGACTGGCTTTAGGAAATAACATGGAAATTTCTGTTGCTATTCTTCAATTTAGCACATGATATATACTAAATTATTAAAATCTACAATTACAGATGTTTGATACTGAATGCATTACAGCAATTGTAAAAAACAAATTAAAAATTAATATTAAAAATGTAAACGGCCTGTTTTTAAACTCGATTATTACATTGCAATTATTTTTATAGTCTTCTGAATTAATTTCAAGCATCGAAATCTCACAATATACTTAAATGCTTTCATCATTAAAACAGGCTAAGAGACTAGAATATGTTATACTCTGTTCCACTAATTTCAATAGATGCATCCTAAGGCACTGATTACATTTCAATGTAAGGTTATTAACTTAACAATTTTAAATTCAAAAGATTATTTTATCGTAAATTTAGACTAATGCATTTAAGTTAAGAAAAATTAATAGGGTTTCACCACAGTCCTAATTATAAATATATTTAATTTATCTAGGTGGAGGATAAAAGCTATCCTAAAAATTGTCATGTATTAAATTCATACACTCACTGTCTCCTGAAATTTGCCTCTAAATGTCTATCATGAAAACCATGCATGATACAGTTACTTTTTAAATCAAACATCATATATGAATGCAAGTTAAATATAATTGCATAATGCCTCTTAATTACTTGTTTAATAACTGTCAGACCTTATAAGATTGCAGAAATTAAATATGCAGAATTATATTAGCTCATCTATTTCATCCCTTGACAGTGCATGAATATTCTCTGTTAAGAAAAACGATGTTTTACAAAGTGTTTTTATCTATTCTAGTTTTAAATTACTTTGACTTTAAAAAAAATACCTAACAACATTGTTTTGTGGAAGGAATTCATTTCTATATTTTACTCAAAGAATGAGACTAATTTTTTCAGGCAGAATAGGAAGAACTCAGAGAGCAATAGACTGTAAAAATATTGTGTTACACATGTACACATGATGAAATTAAGTTATACTAAGTTAAATCATGATATAAAATATTAATGTAACATGGGATTTAGTATACACATGTTCACAATAAATAGTAAAAAAACACAAAACTTTCTGGAGATAATATCCACAGGACTTGGCAAATGATTCAATGTGGATGGTGAGGTAAAGAAGTTCTGTGAAATATTCAGTGATTTCTGATTTCAGATTTTCATATGAAGATGGGGAGTTACATCTTGTATAGGTCAGAAGCATACATGAATAAGAAAGACAAAGGAAATTAGCATGAAGGTCACATTCTAAGAATGCATGTCTCATTTCTCTGTTTCCCAATCGAAGGCTCTCTTCAGCCGCCCACAGACTTTGCTATACCCTTTGCTGCATGGAGTTCCCTTGCAGGGCTTCAGACCTCAGCCTGCTGTCCTCCAGGGATACTCAAAGTATTTGTAAACTATTTTTGTAAACTATAAATACGTTACTGCTTACCATAATCCTGAGTCGAGGAAACAAGAGTTATGCTCCACATTTTGCAGATGAGCAAATATGGCTTCACAATTTTAAATTATTAGTAATAGATCCAATTCTAGAGACCAGGTCTTCTGCTCCCAGGCAGGCATTCTTTTCTGTCTTCCCTAATCCTTCCAGAATAACCAGATCTTTGGTGCTGCTTCTAATATACGGCAAGTAATTGGAGCTCAACTTGGCAAATCGGGTTAACAGTTACTGCAGACTATTTTCTAATAGATTTATCAGATGGTGGAAACCTTTTAAGTAACATTTGTGTCATTCAATGACTTTTATAACGATATAAAAATCCCACGAAATCTTAGCATAATAGATAATAGCTATTTAGCATAATAAATACATGTATATAATTATTTCAAAAATATGTTAATAATAAAGTTGTATTTCTATAGCAGATAAGAGCATTCATCTGATATCAAAAATGTGCCATTTTAGTAATGCATTTTTTCCATTTTGAAAGAATATGAAATCTAACAATTGTTATTCAAAAATTGTTCTTTAGAAAAAGCTGAAACCAAGGAGGTTTTGATTTTTGCTTTTGAAATCTCAAGGTAATGAAGATAAAAGTTTGACAATTGAGACGTATGGAAATACATTTCATGAACAGAATTTCATATATGACATGCAAATTTATTTAACAAATGATATAACTAAGTACAGTGTGTAGAAAGCAGTTGTACTCAAATGTAGGACAGCTGTAAATTAGATTTTATGATGACACTTAATGCATGCTTTTTTGGGAAAAATTGTCAACTCTATCAGTTCAATGAGCCACTACAGGGTAAAAGAAACTCATCTACATTAAGAGATTCATAATAAGCATAAAATATATAATTAAATACAATAAGGTCAAAAGCTGAATAATCAGATATAGAAGGGTGTATTTTTTCCACTTTCAAGTCAAAATGAGAAATATGATAAGTTTGGATGACAGGTGTGAGGGCTAATTTTCATTAAAATCTGACATTCATTTTGATTATTAAAGTTTCCAAATGACTGACAATGCAAGTATAATATGTTTTAATTTAAAGAACGATTTAAATAATTTAAAAGAAATGATTCTTACGATTATTTTGCAAGGATCTACTTGTTGAGAAGGACTAATGAATGCTATCAAATATCTTCCATAGTGAAGAATAATTAGTCCATCCATTAATCAGGATTATTTTGAAGGCTTACTCTTTTAGTTAAGTTTGTGTTATTTTTATATAGCTTTAGTCAATGTACTATAGAATTTATGAAATTGAACTTTGTATGTGCAGAAGATTTCTAGCTAGCTATTTAGGCACATCAAATGTTTTACTTCAATTTAAAAAAATATATCTTTTCCCACTGTGTGAGAAGAAGTTATACCCTGAAAGACACAAAAATCACCAACACATGAACCTTCTCCTCCAGAATTTAATCATTCCCTTGGAAAAATACACACAAACACCAGTAGTGAGGAAATATCTCTGATGTGGGTAGAAAGGCAAAACTAAAAGAGCATCTAGTCTTTCAGGATAAGAAAATAACAAGTAATGAATAGCACTATCTTTCTTCTCTACTATGGATACTAGTAATAATCAATTTAACCTACTCAATCAATACTTTTTATCACTGATTATTTTTCTATTCATGTGTTTCATTTTTACAATATTTTTGCAGAAATTTAAGAAATGTTCTTATTTTGGGTAACCATCTGAGATTGTAAGATTTTTTTTTTCTTTTTGTACCTTGGTTTTGAGTGCTGCAAAGCTTTCATGTAATTTGAAAATTATTATAAAATTATGGATCTGAAAAATTTACCATGTCCATGTCTCAACATGTGTTAGCATGTTGAAGTTACCCTAGTTCAATTTAAAATATTTCAATGTGCAAATCCTATAAAGTCATTGACTTTTCTTATTTTTTTGTTTTAATATTAATTCACTTATTAATCATTCATGCAGGAAATATTATTGAGCACCAGATAGAAAGAACCTCTGTGGCCAGGCACGGTGTCTCACGCCTATAATCCTAGCACTTTGGGAGGCCGAAGTGGGCGGATCACGAGGTCAGGAGTTTGAGACCAGCCCGACCAACATAGTAAAACCCCGTCTTTAGTAAAAATACAAAAATTAGCCAGGCATGGTGTCGCTCGCCTGTAGTACCGTCTACTCGGGAGGCTGAGGCAGGAGAATCACTTGAACCTGGGAGGTGGAGCTGGCAGTGAGCCGAGATCACGCCACTGCACTCCAGCCTGGGCAGCAGAGCAAGACTCCATCTCAAAAAATAAAAAGAAAAAAAACCTCCGTGCTTTCACAATTGCCATTCTAGTGTGGGAGATTGAAAACAAGTATGGAAATTACAATGTATGTTAAATAACAATATGGATTAAAGATGCAGTTACCCATTAGTCAAAACATGCATCATACACTGAACACTGAATACAAAGGAGTCTGAAAAATCTACTTACCAGGCTTTTAGCTCACATGATAGCAAAAAGAGCACAGGAGAGTTTGGGAACATATACTGGGTGCCAAAAGGAAAAAATCGAGCATAATATATACCACTTTTGACAATATTTAAAATTTTAATTAGCAGCAATGGCAAAAAACAACACGATTCTTGCTAATAGAATAGAATTATTCCCCATACAAAAATTTTCTCAATCCCTCCTCTAAAAATAGAGATCCAAACTTCTATTAGTCACCAAATCTAGCCCTGGGTGATAATGATTCTTGCTTAAGTTCAGTTGCAATTCTGCTTTTATATTTAGTCTCTAAAAATGAATTTATATGAACTACCAGTACCTTATGTAAATTAGTAAGTGAAGAATGAAGGAAAGATAAGAAGTTAGTGGCTGATATATACAAATATGTACATAACAAAGCAAGGAAGAAAACACAAATATGCATAGCTATTCAAGTTCTCTTTCCTTAAATGGGGCACAAAGTTGTAATTTGCATTTTTAACTTTCCCCTTCCACAAGCCATTCATTGTTCCCTTGCCCTCAACCAGCATTGAGCTGGTGTGATTTAAATCTTTATTCCTGGGGAAGGCAGGAGACCTTATTGGTACTGTCTTTAGTGAGTTGATGTTGTTTCCTAAGGGGTGTTAAAAGATATTCCCCATAAAAGGAATCTCCGGAGATTCAGACCTATGCCCTCATTTCCCCGGCGTTAAGCATTATTGTGTTAGACATTGTTCCAGATACTAAAGGGCAGAGTGTTTCAACATTATGCCAGGAAATTGACGTAAAATGGAATTCTGAGATGAATTTTCTGAGTTGACTGGGCTTGACTTGATAACTTTTTGCCACCCTGGTGATGCCTCAATTGACTCACATTCAGTGAAACCATGGTGGTACAGAGAGAATTTCTACCTAGGCTTCAAAACGTGAACTTTCCCTCAGAAAGGGTGACTGCAGTGCTGCTGCGCATCTAACCAGACAGCAGCAAAGGTCACCACTGGCTCACTAATAGGGCTTTATATCCCAGGCAAACCAGCCAGCAACCTGATGGCAGGATTAACTTACAGGAGATCCTTTTCCATATGGAGAGGCCAGAGATTTATCCTCATAAAAATAAACCTACTAGATATGGATTATTTTTCTTCTCAATGCTTGCAATGCTTCTGTGAAAACTACCATCCTTTGACTTCCTGAATGGTTTATTTATTGTAATGATGTCCCAGGGCACTCACAGGGGGAAGATCTAGAAGTTGCTGCAAAATGTCGTGTCTGTGAAGTCCATATGTTTGTGTGCTGCCACTGAGAAAGAAGGCAATGCTTTCTTATTCATACTTTTCTATCTCAAAATTTCATACAAATGTATCTTAGCAAAATGAGAATCACATTGAAGATTTGTTAAAAAAAAAAAAAGTAAGTTTGATAAATATAGTACCAAGGCTTCTAGCCTTTGCAATACAGAAGAAAAGACTGGAAGGTGTGCAGATGACTACCCATTGAAATATGGAAAGGCACTGAAAGGTCTTGCCCAGACAGGTAGCATGTACTTGCTTTGCCTTCTAGTCTTCTGCTCCGACATCCATTGCTTGAGTCAGGTGCCTCTCTTTCATTATCTGCGGATTTAGATAAATCATGTTAATTGGCTAATGCAACATGGAAACTATATTCAAGTTTTAAAATAGGTGACATATTTTTCTTAGGAATTGAGGCCTTCACAAGAATTATCACGAACTCTTCATATACTGAAAATTTGCTAATTAGATGCTAAAGTTTAATGACCCAGGCTTCTGGACAAAGCATCTCATTGTAGGAAATGCAGCTTTTAAGAATACGGTAAAAAGTTTGATCAACACCATAATGCAGAAATTTCAGAGAGGAGTATCTGATGTGCTTGAGAGAATAATATTTCAACACAATATATTGGTTTAATTGAATCTTGAATGATGAGAGTAAATTAGGTAGTAAAACAAATGGGAAAGATGTACAAAGAAGAAAGTGGAATAGATGCTAGTGCAACTGTGAAAACATACGCTCCTAATATAATTGGGATATTAGGGTGAGGTGGGAGACATCCTAATCTCTAGAGAAAATAGGAAACTGCCTTTCCTCTTCCTGAAGAGGTTAAGATTCATTGCACATGTAGGGAAAAATGGATTTCTCAGCAACAGAACTGGATCACTCTAATGGGCAGAGTTGGTTGGAAGGGGAAGTTTTGCCAGTAAGAATAAGCAGTTATACATAGAACTGAAATGGCCATTTCTTAGTTTATTTGCATTGCAATAAAGAAATACCAGAGGCTGAGTAATTTATACAGAAGAGAGGTTTATTTGGTTCATAGTTCTGCATGCTGTACATGAAGCATGGTGCCAGCATTTGCTTCTGGTGAGGATTTCACTTCACGGTGAGATGGGGGCAAAGGGCAGCTGGCATGTGCAGAGGTCACGTGGCAAAAGAAATTAGAAGCAAAAGAGAAAGGAGAGAGAGAAAATGGAGGTGGCAGGCTCTTTTTAACAATCAGTTCTCCCAGGAACTAATAGAGCGACTCACCCATTACCCTGAGGGTGACAACAAGTTGTTCATGAGCGATCTGCTCCCATGACCCAAGTGCCTCCCACTATGCCCCACTTCCACCACTGAGGATCAAATTTCAACAAGTGATTTGGAGGGAACAAATATCCAAACTATATCAGGTTGTATGTTCTTTTAACTTACATCATTTGCTTTTAGATTGTTCCATCTCAAGCAACTGCTATGTCCTGTGTAACCTGGAGGAGATATCCAACCTTAGATGATAAAGAGAAAACCAAGCAGAGCCCATGATGGATAAAGGGCAAGAACAGGCCACAGAAGCATATCTGTCTTAAATTTATTTTCATGGGGTGTTTCTAAGCTTCGGATGGTCCAGCCCAACTGAAAGGAATCAAAATCCAAGGAGAATTTTGTGGGTCATATGCTAGTAATAAATGACAGGGTACATTTTCCAGCGATGTGTTCTATGATATATAGAATTATCAGACTAATAAAATTAGCTACAGAGTAAGTGGTTGGTCAAAGACTTGATAGAATGAAGTCCTTATATTGGCTGTTTCCACCTCAATTCAGGTAATGTCAAAGGCTCTGTGACAAGGATCTATTTTGTAGATCCTTTTACTAGTAAACGGTGTAATACTGAATAAGATGAAAAAACTTAAAGTCTGAATAAAAGAAGTTATCCATAGTAGAATATGTGGTAGTCTAAAAGACCTACTTAACTTCATAATTCCTCATTATTTTGGAATAAATTAGTACTCAATTTTTTTGCAAAGTTCTAAAATATAGGTAGAATTATCTGATAGGCTTTATGTAAGTTGTATAGATAAGGGATCTGCATCTGTGTGCCATTGTATATAGGCTTGGTGCTATTCCCGCCATAAAAATTAGTCCCACAGCTTGGAATTTAAACTTAACGCTACTGTTTTTGATACTACAAAATAAGTTTTCGCTGTGAACCACTGAAAGGATTTTTTCTCTATCTAATTTTGAGGTTTTCCATCAACAGACACTTAGT